>NC_000011.10:97778485-98081515 GCF_000001405.40 Homo sapiens
CCATAACTCTTGCCATATTACAGCTCTAGTTCTTTCTTCCTGTCAACTTCACTATTTCACAGAGCTTCCTCCACATAGCTTAATACACAGTCTCACAACACTCACAACTCGTATGTCCCAACTTTATATAAGAGATGTAAATTAATTGCTATTAGTTCCAAGTAGAAAAAACATCCTAAAAAGTTTTAAAGATGCAGGTTAGTTAGCCTGTCTCAATCAGTGTCTACTTTTGAGCAACCGTGCTCAAATGGTTGGGCTTTGCATGGAAGCTCCCATTCAGAGCATAAAGAAAAGGGGACATTTCATCAAAGAAGGTAGTGCTAAATTGGGCAGATTTTTAAAAAATGTTTATATCTATGTTACTTTTAAAATATAATCATTCTTTCTTTTTGAGTTAATGTAACAACTTCATTTTCCTTTATTAAATCACGGATTTTTTTAATTTTTTTCCTTCACATGAATATCTTCTCTATAATTTTATATTCCTTAGGGTCAAGTATCCTTGCCCTATCATTTAATTTTTCTTTGTTATATTCCTGGGAGCTTCAAGTACAAATAAAGATTTATTTTTATGCAATAAGTAGTTAGTTCAGTAGGCCTGGGTTGCTAAAACCCCGCATAGTCTAAAGGCAGGCCTGTCTTCAGAAAGACTGACACTTGACTAGCCCCTGAGAAATAACCTCTGAGCCCTTGGAATGTGCTGCCTGATAGAGTGTTTTGGTGTGTCTGAGAATTTGGGCCACATGGTATCAATTTAACCTCCAGGCAGATGGAAACTGAGGAGTTAAGTTCAGTCAAGCTGCTGCTGCATGCTTATGGGACTGATCCCCAATAAAAATCTGGATTGCAAGGCTCAGGTGAGCTAGCCTGGTTGGCAAGACATCACATGTGTTGTCACAGGTTGTTGTCAGGTGAATTGAGTGCAATTCTTCTGGAAGGTGACACCTGGAAGTTTTTGTCTGATTTCACCCATGCGCCTTTCCTATGTCTTTTTTTTTTTTTTTTATACTTTAAGTTTTGGAGTACATATGCAGAACGTGCAGGTTTGTTGCATAAAAATACACTTGCCATGGTGGTTTGCTGCAGCCACCAACCCGTCATCTACTTTAGGTATTTCTCCTGATGCTACCTTTCCCCTAGCCTCCCACCCCAACAGGCCCTGGTGTATGATGTTCCCCCGCTGTGTCCATGTGTTCTCATTGTTCAACTTCCACTTATGAGTGAGAACATGTGGTGTATGGTTTTCTGTTCTTGTGTTAGTTTGCTGAGAATGATGATTTCCAGTGTCAACCATGTCCCTGAAAAGGACATGAACTCATCCTTTTTTATGGCTGCATAGTAATCCATGGTGTATATGTGCCACATTCTTTATCCAGTCTATCATTGATGGGGATTTAGGTTGGTTCCAAGACTTTGCTATTGTGAACAGTGCCACAGTAAACGTACAAGTGCATGTGTCTTTATAGTAGAATGGTTTATAATCCTTTGGGTATATACCAGGTAATGAGATTGCTGGGTCAAATGGTATTTCTAGTTCTAGATCCTTGAGGAATAGCCACACTGTCTTCCACAATGGTTGAACTGATTTACACTCCCACCAACAGTGTAAAAGCGTTTCTATTTCTCCACATCCTCTCCAGCATCTGTTGTTTCCTGAATTTTTAATGATTGCCATTCTAAATGGCGTGAGATGGTATCTCACTGTGGTTTTGATTTGCATTTTTCTAATGACCAGTGATGATGAGCTTTTTTTCATATGCTTGTTGGCTGCATAAATGTCTTCTTTTGAGAAGTGTCTGTTCATATCCTTCACCCACTTTTTGATGGGGTTGTTTTTTTCTTGTAAATTTGTTTAAGTTCTTTGTAGCTTCTGGATAGCCCTTTGTCAGATGGATAGATTGCAAGAATTTTCTCTCATTCTGTAGGTTGCCTGTTCACTCTGATGATAGTTTCTTTTGCTGTGCAGAAGCTCTTTAGTTTAGTCAGATCCCATTTTTCTATTTTTGCTTTTGTTGCCATTGCTTTTGGTGTTTTATTCATTAAGTCTTTGTCCATGCCTATGTCCTGAATGGTATTGCCTAAGTTTCCTTCTAGGGTTTTTATGGTTTCAGGTCTTACATTTAAGTCTTTAATCCATCTTAATTTTTGTATAAGGTATAAGGAAGTGATCCAGGTACAGCTTTTGGCATATGACTAGGCAGTTTTCCCAACACCATTTATTAAATAGAGAATCCTTTCCCCATTGCTAGTTTTTGTCAGGTTTGTCAAAGATCAGATGGTTGTAGATGTATGGTGTTATTTATGAGGCCTCTGTTCTGATCCATTGATCTATATATCTGTTTTGGTACCAGTACCTTGCTGTTTTGGTTACCGTAGCCTTGTAGTATAGTTTCAAATCAGGTAGTGTGATGCCTCCAGCTTTGTTCTTTTTGCTTAGGATTGTCGTGGCTACGTGGGCTCTTTTTTGGTTCCATATGAAATTTAAAGTACTTTTTTCCAATTCTGTGAATAAAGTCATTGGTAACTTGATGGGGATAGCATTGAATCTATAAATTACTTTGGGCAGTATGGCCATTTTCACAATACTGATTCTTCCTATCCATGAGCATGGAATGTTTTTCTATTTGTTTGTGTCCTGTCTTATTTCCTTGTGCAGTGGTTTGTAGTTCCCCTTGAAGAGGTCTTTCACATCCCTTGTAAGTTGTATGCCTAGGTATTTTATTCTCTTTGTAGCAATTGTGAATGAGAGTTCACTCATGATTTGGCTCTCTGTTTGTCTGTTATCAGTGTATAGGAATGCTTGTGATTTTTGCACATTGATTTTGTATCCTGAAACTTTGCTAAAGTTGCTTATCAGCTGAATGAGATTTGGGGCTGAGAAAATGGGGTATTAAATATGCAATCATGTCATCTACAAACAGAGACAATTTGAATCCCTCTTTTCCTAATTGAATACCCTTTATCTCTTTCTCTTGCCTGAGTGTCCTGGCCAGAACTTCCAATACTATGGTTGAATAGGAGTGGTGAGAGAGGGCATTCTTGTCTTTTGCCAGTTTTCAAAGGGAATGCTTCCAGTTTTTGCCCATTCAGTATGATATTGCCTGTGGGTTTGTCATAAATAGCTCTTACTATTCTGAGATACATTCCATCAAAGCCTAGTTTATTGAGAGTTTTTAGCAAGAAGTGCTGTTGAATTTTGTTGAAGGACTTTTCTGCATCTATTGAGATAATGTTGTGGTTTTTGTCATAAGTTCTGTTTATGTGATGGATAACATTTATTGATTTGTATATGTTGAAACAGCCTTGCACCCCAGGGATGAAGCTAACTTGATCATGGTGGATAAGCTTTTTGATGTGCTGCTGGATATGGTTTGCCAGTATTTTATTTAATATTTTTGCATCGATGTTCATCAGGGATATCGGCCTGAAATTTCCTTTTGTTGTGTCTCTGCCAGGTTTTGGTATCAGGATGATGCTGGCCTCATAAAATGAGTTAGGGAGGAGTCCCTCTTTTTCTATTGTTTGGAATAGTTTCAGAAGGAATGGTACCAGTTCCTCTTTGTATCTCTGGTAGAATTCAGCGGTGAATCTATATGGTCCAGGACTATTTTTGGTTGGTAAGCTATTAATTGCTGCCTCAATTTCAGAACTTGTTATTGGTTTATTCAGGGATTCAACTTCTTCCTGGTTTCGTCTTGGAAGGGTGTATATATCCAGGAATTTATTCATTTCTTCTAGATTTTCTAGTTTATTTGCATAGAGGTGTTTATAGTATTCTCTGATGGTAGTTTGTATTTCTGTGGGATCACTGGTGATATCACCTTTATCATTTTTTATTGCATCTATTTGATTCTTCTCCCTTTTCTTCTTTATTAGTCTGGCTAGTGGTCTATTTTGTTGAACTTTTCAAAAAACCAGCTCCTGGATTCATTGATTTTTTGAAGGATTTTTTAAGTCTCTATCTCCTTCAGCTCTGCTCTGATCTTAGTTATTTCTTGTGTTCTGCAGGCTTTTGAATTTGTTTGCTCTTGCTTCTCTAGTTATTTTAATTGTGATGTTAGGATGTCGATTTTAGATCTTTCCTGCTTTCTCTTGTGGGCATTTACTGCTATAAATTTCCCTCTACACACTGCTTTAAATGTGTCCCAGAGATTCTGGTATGTTGTGTCTTTGTTCTCATTGGTTTCAAAGAACATCTTTATTTCCGCCTTCATTTCGTTATTTACCAAGTAGTCATTCAGGAGGAGGTTGTTCAGTTTCCATGTAGTTGTGCAGTTTTGAATGAGTTTCTTAATCCTGAGTTCTAATTTGATTGCACTGTGGTCTGAGAGACTGTCATTATGATTTCCATTCTTTTGCATTTGCTGAGGAGTGTTTTACTTCCAATTATGTAGTTAATTTTAGAATAAGTGCGATGTGGTGCTGAGAAGAACGAATATCCTGTTGATTTGTGGTGGAGAGTTCTGTAGATGTCTATTAGGTCCACTTGGTCCAGAGCTGAGGTCAAGTCCTGGATATCCTTGTTAATTTTCTGTCTTGTTGATTGGTTTAATATTGACAGTGATGTGTTAAAGTCTCCCACTATTATTATGTGGGAGTATAAGTCTCTTTGTAGGTCTCTAAGAACTTGCTTTATGAATCTGGGTGCTCCTGTATTGGGTGCATATATATTTAGGACAGTTAGCTCTTCCTGTTGCATTGATCCCTTTACCATTATGTAATGCCCTTCTTTGTCTCTTTTGATCTTTGTTGATTTAAAGTCTGTTTTATCAGAGACTAGGATTGCAACCTTTTTTTTTTCCTTTCCATTTGCTTGGTAAATATTCCTCCATCCCTTTATTTTGAGCCTATGTGTGTCTTTGCAGGTGAGATGGGTCTCCTGAATACCTGAATACAGCACACTGGTGGGTCTTGACTCTTTATCCAATTTGTCAGTCTGTGTCTTTTAATTGAGGCATGTAGCTCATTTACATTTAAGGTTAATATTGTTATGTGTGAATTTGATCCTGCCATTAAGGTGCTAGCTGGTTATTTTACCCGTTAGTTGATGCAGTTTCTTCATAGTGTCGATGGCCTTTACAATTTGGTATGTTTTTGCAGTAGCTGGTACCAGATTTTCCCCTCCCATGTTTAGTGCTTCCTTCAGGAGCTCTTGTACAGCAGGCCTGGTGATAACAAGATCTCTCAGCATTTCCTTGTCTATAAAGGATTTTATTTCTCCTTCACTTATGAAGCTTAGTTTGGCTGGATTGAAATTCTGGGTTGAAAATTCTTTTATTTAAGAATGTTGAATATTGGCCCCCACTCTCTTCTGACTTGTAGGGTTTCTGCTCAGAGATCCACTGTTAGTCTGATGGGCTTCTCTTTGTGGGTAACCCAACCTTTCTCTTTGGCTGCCTTTAAAATTTTTTCCTTCATTTCAACCTTGGTGAATCTGACAATTATGTGTCTTGGGGTTGCTCTTCTTTAGGAGTATCTTTGTGGTGTTGTCTGTATTTCCTGAATTTGAATGTTGGCTTGCTGTTGCGGGAAGTCAGGGACCCCACATGAAGGCACTGGCTGAAGCCATGGCAGAAGAACATAAATTGTGAAGATTTCATGGACATTTATTAGTTCCCCAAATTAATACTTTTATAATTTCTTACACCTGACTTTACTGCAATCTCTGAACATAAATTGTGAAGATTTCATGGACATTTATCACTTCCCTAATCAATATTCTTGTGATTTCCTATGCCTGTGTTTAATCTCTTAATCAAGTCGACTTCATAAGCTGAGGATGTACATTACCTCAGGACCCTGTGATGATTGTGTTAACTGCACAAATTGTTTCTAAAGCATGTGTGTTTAAACAATATGAAATCTGGGCACCTTGAAAAAAGAACAGGATAATAGCGATGTTCAGGGAACAAGGGAGATAACCATTAGGTCTGACTGCCTGAGAGCCAGGTGGAACAGAGCCATATTTCTCTTCTTACAAAAGTGAATAAGAGAAATATCGCTGAATTCTTTTTCTCAGCAAGGAACAGCCCTGAGAAAGAGAATGCATTCCCAGGGGTAGGTCTCTAAAATGGCCGCCACTCTGGGAGTGTCTGTCATATATGGCTGTAGATAAGGGATGAAATAAGTCCTGGTCTCCTGTAGCGCTCCCAGGCCTATTAGGATGAGGAAATTCCTGCCTAGTAAATTTCAGTCAGACCAGTTGTCTGCTCCCAAACCCTGTCTCCTGATAAGATGTTATCAATGACAATGTGTGCCCAGTGGGACATGAAACTTCATTAGTAATTTTAATTTCGCCCAGGTCCTGTGATCTCGCTCTGCCCCCATTTGCCTTGTGATATTTTACGCCTTGTGAAGCATGTGATTTCTGTGACCCACACCCTATTCATACACTCCCTCCCTTTTGAAAATTGCTAATAAAAACTTGCTGGTTTTACAGCTCATGGGGCATCACGGAACCTGCCGACATGTGATGTCTCCCCTGGAAACCCAGCTTTAAAATTTCTCTCTTTTGTACTCTTTCCCTTTATTTCTCAGACCAGCCGACACTTATGGAAAACAGAAAAGAATCTACGTTGAATTATCGGGCGTGGTTCCCCCAATAGCCTGCCTTGCTGAGTTGGGGAAGTTCTCCCAGATAATATCCTGAAGAGTGTTTTCCAACATGGTTCCATTCTCCCCATCACTTTCGGGTACACCAATCAAATGTAGATTTGGTCTTTTCACATAGTCCCATATTTCTTGGAGGCTTTGTTTGTTTCTTCTCACTCTTTTTTCTCTAATCTTGTCTTCCCACTTTATTTCGTTGAGTTGATCTTCAACCTCTGATATCCTTTCTTCTGCTTGATCAATTTGGCTATGGATACTTGTTTTGATTGATGCTATTGATTGGCTATTGATGCTTCATGAAGTTCTCATGCTGTGTTTTTCAACTCCATCAGGTCATTTATGTTCTTCTTTAAACTGGTTATTCTAGTTAGCTATTCATCTAACCTTTTTTCATGGTTCTTAGCTTCCTTGTATTGGATTAGAACATGCTCCTTTAGCTTGAAGGAGTTTGATATTACCCACCTTCTGAAGCCTACTTCTGTGAATTCATCAAACTCATTCTCTGTCCAGTTTTGTTTCCTTGCTGGTAAGGAGTTGTAATCCATTGGAGGAGAAGAAGCATTCTGGTTTTTCTAATTTTCAGCCTTTTTGCAGTGGTTTCTCCCCATCTTCATGGATTTATCTACCTTTGCTCTTTGAAGTCGGTGACCTTCGGATGGGGTCTCTGAGTGGATGTCCTTTTTGTTGATATTGATACTATTCCTTTCTGTTTGTTGGTTTTCCTTCTAACAATCAGGCCCCTCTGCTGCAGGTCTGCTGGAGTTTGCTGGAGGTCTGCTCCATACCTTTTGCCTTGGTATCACTGATGGAGGCTGCAGAACAGCAAAGATTTCTGCCTGTTCCTTCCTCTGGAAGCTGCATCCCAGAGGGGCACCTGCCAGATGCCAGAGCTCTCCTGTATGAGGCATCTGTTGGCCCCTACTGGGAGGTGTCCCCCAGTCAGGATACATGGGGGTCAGAGACCCACTTGGGGAGGCAGGCTGTCCCTTATCAGAGCTCAAACGCTGTGCTGGGAGATCTGCTGCTCTCTTCAGAGCTGCCAGGTAGGGACATTTCTGTCTGCTGAAGCTGTGCCCACAACCGCCCCTTCCCCAAGGTGCTCTGTCCCAGGGAGGTGAAGGTTTTATTTCTATGTCCCTGACTGGGGCTGCTGCCTTTTTTCAGAGATGTCCTGCCCAGAAAAGAGGGAATCTAGAGAGGCAGTCTGGTTGCAGTGGCCTTGCTGAGTTGCAGTGGGATCCCGCCTTTTCCATTTCTAATGTTAATCTATTCTCTTTCTCTGTAATAAACCATAACTATAAATATGACTGATTTACTGAGCTCTGTTAATCCTTCCAGCATATTGTTGAGTCTGAGGGTGGTCTTCAGGACACCCAACATAATTACAATCCTTTTTTAGTAAAGCTCTCTCATTAATCGGCTCATGGATGGCCTAATTTTCCTTTGTATTTATTTTAGTTTCCCTTTAGTAATTTTTTCTTTTCTTTTTTTAAATACAACTTCCACTTCACAATATGTTTAGATTTACAGAAATGTAAACTTAGAATTTCTGTATCTCTCTCACTTTTTCCTGTTTTAACACCCTACATCATTACTGGATGTTTGTCACAATAAAAACCAATTTTGGTGCATGAGTATTACTAAATTGTACAACTAATTCATAATTTATATGTTCTTCCCAATGTTCTTTTTTTTTTTTTTTCCAAGATCTCACTCACGGTACCACTTTACATGTAGTCATGTCTGTCTGTCTAGCCTCCTCTGATCTGTGACAGTTTCTCAGCCTTCTCTTGTCCTTAATAATTTTGTTTTTAGGAATAGTATTTAGGATTTTGAATAATGCTTCTTCTCAATGCTGTGTACTGAATTGTGTCCCTCTCCAAAATGTGTATGTTAAGCTTGAAACTGCCGGGTGATTGTATTTAGACATAAGGCCTGTAAGGAGGCAATTAAGGTTAATTGAAGTTATAAGAGTGGCGATCTGATCCCATAGGACTGGTGTCCTTATAAGACAAAGAAAAAGCACCAGAGCTCACACTCTCTCTCCACACATGCTCACAGAGGAAAGGTTATGTGAGGGCACAGTGAGAAGTGTTCAACTGCAAGCCAGGAAAAGAGGTCTCACTGGAAATACATAAAGCAGGGACCTCGATGTTGGACTTTCAGCCTCCAGAACTGTGAGAAAATAAATGCCTGTTAAGTTACACAACTGTGATATTTTTTATGGCACCCCAAACAGACTAAAACACTAAATTTGGTTTGTCACATTCTTTATCTCATGGCTAGACTGAGCCCATTTTTATTTTTTTACCACATTTTCATTGCCGCATAATAGAGTACATCATTTTGGGGTACATGTGATATTTAATACATTCATATAATTTGTAAAGATCAAATCAGTGTACTTAGGATATTCCTCACATTAAATATGTATTTTTTTCTTTATGCTAGGATCACTCAAATTCTTCTCTTCTAGCAAATTTGAAATATGCTATACATTATTGTAAACTGATGTCACCCAACTAATCTATCTAACACCAAGTCCAATTTCCTCTATCAAATTCTATATTTGTACCTATTAAGCACTTGTTTTTCCTCCCCTCCCTCCCCTCCACCCTTCCAGCCTCTGGTAACCACCAATCTACTCTCTTAGCTCCCACATATGGGTGAGAATATGCAGTATTTCTCTTTCTGTGCTCAATTTATTTCACTTAACATAATGACTGCCAGTTTCATCCATGTTGCTGCAAATGACAAGATTTCATTATTTTTATGGCAGAATAATATTTCATTGAAATATATAGCACATTTTCTTCATCAGTTGTTGCACTTAGGTTAATTCCATATTTTAGCTAGTGTGAATAGTGTTACAATAAAAATGAAAGTGCAGATGACTTTTCAATACATTGATTTTCTTTATTTGGCTATATACCTAGGAGTGGAATTGTTGGACCATACGATAGATCTATTTTCGGTTTTTTCAAGAACCTCTATATTGTTCTGTAAATTGCCTATACTAATTTACATTCCCACCAACAATGTACAAGGGTCCCGCTCTCTCACCATCTTCACCAGCATCTATTATTGCCTGTTTTTAGATAAAAGCCATTTTAACTGGGGTGAGATGAAATCTCATTGTAGTTTTGATTTACATTCTCTAATGATTAGCAATATTAAGCATTTTTTATATACTTATTGGCCATTTCTATGTCTTCTTTTAGAAATGTTTCTTTATTTTGCCTATTTTTAATTGGATTATTCGGGATTATTTTTGTTATTGAGTTGCTTTTGCTACTTACATATTCTGGTTATTAATCCCTTGTCAGATGGATAGTTTGCAAATGTTTTCTCCAATTCTGTGGGTTGTCTCCTCACTTTGTTGGTTGTTTCTTGTGCTATGCAGAAGCTTTTCCACTTAATGTAATCTCAGTTGTCTATTTTTGCTTTGGTTGCCTGCGTGTTGTTGACTTTGGTTTGCAAGTATTATGTTGAGAGTTTTTCTATGTATATTTGTATTAGTCAGGGTTCTCTAGAGGGACAGAACTAATAGAATATATATATAAAGGGGAGTTTATTAAGTATTAACTCACACTATCACAAGGTCCCACAATAGGTTGTCTACAAGCTGAGGAGCAAAGAAAACCAGTATGAGAACTTGAGAACTGAAGAACTTGGAGTCCGATGTTTGAGGGCAGGAGGCATCCAGCATGAGAGAATGATGTAGGGTGGGAGGCTAGGCCAGTCTAGTCTGTTCACATTTTTTTCTGCCTCCTTTATATTCTAGCCTTGCTGGCAACTGATTAGACGATGACTGCCCACCCAGATTAAGAGTGAGTCTGCCTTTCCCAGCCCATTGACTCAAATGTTAATCTCTTTTGGCAACACCCTCACAGACACACCCAGGATCAGTACTTTGCATCCTTCAATCCAGTCAAGTTGACACTCAGTATTAACCATCAGAAGTCTACCCCTTGTCAATGTAAACCCATATGCATCTCCTGAGATTACATGAAATCTTCAAATAAAGACAATAAGAAGGTCAAATTATGCCTAACATAACAGAACTATCCTTCATATATTGTTTTTGATTTACTATTTTTCTAAGTAGAGCCAGCTCTAATGGCTTACATTTGGCCTTTCCCACCATAATGGTACTCATCATACCACTCAGGGAACCAATGTGGGGGTTCTTCTCATTGCTAAGTATATCTATGCCAATTGTGCATTCTGGCACTGGGGAAGTGACCACAGGATGAGTCTGGGGACACACTGGACCCACTGTAAGTCAGATCTGAACTAAAACTCCATTACTTACCTAAGTGCCATAAGCCCCTACTTTAACTGGAGGACTTTGATGATGTTTTGGGTTCCCTGGAATCAACATCAGCTCAGAGCCAGTGTCCAGTAGTCCCCAAAACGTCTGATCATTTCCCTTTCCCCAATGCACAGCTACCCCAGTAAAAGGCCAGAGGTCTCCTTGGGGAAGGATGAAGGAAAGATTCACTGCATAAATTGTCAGTAATGTAGTGGAGTCCTTCCTCAAGGGGACCGGGCCTCCCCTTCATTCAAGGGTTTCTGGGTGTATAAACTAGTTCAAGTCTGCAAATTGATTGAGGGGACGTGATTCTCTGTTTTTATAATTCAAATTAGTTTTTTGTTCATTTAACCTAGAAGTTTTCTGCTTGTATAAATCAAGTAGGAATGCAGTAGGCTTCCTATCAGTTTCACTTCTAGGAACGCCATGATTAATTAGCCAATGCCAGAGCTCTATTTGAGTCAGACTACTTCGATTGCTCCTTTATCTCTGCTGTCCATTATGGTAGCTACAGCCATCTTGCCTTTGACAGTTGAGTGCTGCCACTTAGCCCCTGCCACCTCAGGATCCAATTATTCCCATTGTATTTAAATTTTGTAGTGGAGTGACTCCAGTTCCCACTGTTAGATCTGAAATACAGAGAAGAGCAATTACAGGGCTCTTCAAAGATGTAGGTGCTCCCCTCACAAACCTATTTTGCAAGGCCTTGGTCATAGGGGTATCTTCTGGACCCTTGCAGCTGGAATGAGTAGGTCTAAAGTGACTAATCCACTCTACCATCCCAATCTCCCTAAGCCTTTGGGTCCCTTCTACATTAAACTATGGGAGATCAGGCATTTCCAGCTTGCTCACAATGGGCCATCTTTTTTTTTTTTTTTTTTTTTTTAAGACACTCTTGCTCTGTCGCCCAGGCCGGAGTGCAGTGGTGCGATCTTGGATCACTGCAACCTCCACCTCCCGAGTTCAAGCAATTCACATGCCTCAGCCTCCTGAGTAGCTGGGACTACAGGCATGCACCACCACACTCGGCTAATTTTTGTTTTCTCTTTAGTAGAGACGGGGTTTCACTATATTGGCCAGGCTGGTCTCAAACTCCTGACATCGTGATCCACCTGCCTTGGCCCCTCAAAGAGCTGGGATTACAGGCGTGAGCCACCATGCCCAGCCTATTAGAACCTTTTTTAACCCCCGAAGCTGCAACATTAAATGCAGAGTCACTACTAAGTGGGCCCAAATCAATAAATTCAGCCTGATTCACCTCTACGTTTCTACATTTCTTCCACCATTATCCTACACCCTTAATATCTATTCACATGCCTGTTCTCCAGATTTCTGTTTATATAAATTAGAAAACTCACACAGTTTTTTTGTTTGTTTGTTTGTTTGTTTCAGACAGCATCTCACTCTGTCATCTAGGCTGGAGAGCAGTGACACAATCATAGCTCACGGCAGCCTCATACTCCTGGGCTCAAGCAATCCTCCTGCATCAGCCTCCCAAGTAGCTAGGACTGCATGCACATTCCACCACATGCAGCTATTTTTTTTTTTTTTTAATCTTTGTAGAGAGAGTCTCATTATGTTTCCCAGGCTAGTCTCAAACTCCTGACCTAAGGTGATTCTCCCCTGGTCTTCCAAAGCACTGGGATTATAAGCATGAGCCACCATGTTTGGCCTTAACTTACATATTTTATAGTATCTATTTCTTAACAGGTTGCTATAGGTATTATTACCATTTTGTAGGTTTGTTTTTTGTGTTTCTTAGTAAAATTATATATAAATTACATGCCACAATTAACATATTTGAGTTTTCCAGGTTTGTCCATGTACTTGCTTTACCAGTGGGTTTTATTCCTTCAATTTTTGGTTTGTTATTTTTGCACATCAGTGATTTTTTTCCTTCAGATTGAAGAACTTTTAGCATTTTTTGTAAGATGGTTGAGGTGGTGGTGAATTCTCTCAGTTTTTATTTGTCTGGTAAAGACATTCTCCTTTATATTTGAAATAAAACTGTAATGGATACAATATTCTAGAGTGGCAATTTGCTGTTGTTGTCGTTATTTTTTTCTTTTTGTTTTCTTTTTTTTGTTTGTTTGTTTCTTTTTTCTTTCAATACTTTGAAAATGTCATTTTACTCTCTCCTACCCTGCCTGGTTTCCACTGAGAAGTCAGCTTTCAGATGAATTAAAGCTTGTCATTTATTTCTTTTCTCTTGCTGCTTCTAGGGTTCTCTATTTGACCCTGACCTGTGACATTTGATTATTATATGCTTTGGGGCAGTCTTATTTGGGTTAAATCTCCTTTTGGATTCCCTGACATTCTTGTACTTGGATATTCATATCTGGCTCAAATTTGGAAAATTTTCTGTTTTGATTTCTTAAGAGTGTTTTCTAACCCCTTACTATTGCTCAATTCCCTATTAGACATCAACAGTTCTTAGATTTGATTTTTTTGAGTTAATTTTCTATATCTTATAGGCAATCTGTATCGCTTTTCATTCTTTTTCTTTCTCCACTATGTTGTTTTGTTTTTTTCTTTTGAGACCGAGTCTCGGTCTGTTGCCCAGGCTGGAGTGCAGTGGCGCGATCTCGGCTCACTGCAAGCTCCGCCTCCCGGATTCCCGCCAGTCTCTTGCCTCAGCCTCCCCAGTAGCTGGGACTACAGGCACCCGCCACCACGCCCGGCTAATTTTTTGTATTTTTTAGTAGACACGGGGTTTCACCGTGTTAGCCAGGATGGTCTCAATCTCCTGACCTTGTGATCCACCTGCCTCGGCCTCCCAAGAGTGCTGGGATTACAGGGTGAGCCACCGCGCCCAGCTTCCACTATGTATTTTTAAACAGCCTGTCTGTAAGCTCACTGATTCTTTTCTCTGCTTGACTCATTCTGCTGTTAAGAACTTCTAAAATATTTTTCTGTTCAGCAATCGATTCCTCAATTCCAAGATTTCTGTTTGATTTTTTTTCAAATTATTTCAATCTCTTTGTTAAATTTCGCTGATAAATTGCTGAACTGCTGTTCTATGTTATCTTGGAAATTACTGAACTTCCTTTGAATTCTTGGTCATAGGGCTCACAAATCACTGTCTCAGTGTCAGTTACTGGTTCCTTGCTTTGTCCATTTGGGGAGATAATGATTCTCTGTTTGCCATTGTTCCTTATGGGTGTATGTCTATGTCTTTGTATTGAAGGACTAGTTATTTATTTCAGTCTTCTTTGGTTTGTTTTGGTGTTTTATTGGTTGTATTAGCTTAGAGATTCTTTACCACTAGGTCGTTGCCTTCTTTTTGGCTCTAGTTGGTGCCTTAAGCCAATTTTCACATTGGCTCTAGTAACCATTCAGGGCACTTATCTTCCAAAATAGAGGAAGTCACAAAGAGAGTATCTTGGAAGTATGGGAAAGCTAGTTAGGGGTTCATGCCTAGAGAACCTGTGGGATGAACCTCCTACAGTGTAGTGATGCTGGACAGACACTCTGATTTTGCCATTTTACATAGCAGAGTTTCTAGGGCTAGGAATAGAACTTTGACCTCTCCCTTTGTCCCTGCCTCTCCTCAGAAATATTTCTTCCTTCAGGCACTTGTAATGCTTCCCATTGTTTAAGGAAGGGACAGGTCGCCTGCCAGGGAACCCAAGATGGTGGAAAAGATGGTGGTTGTCCACTTTCTTCTCATTCTTTCCGGTGCAGACACAGTGAGCTGGGGGAAAATTTTCCACATGCTTGGTGCTGGAGAGAATGGAGGAAGGGTTTTCATGGATGTTTAAGTCCCATTCTCTTACCATCATCTCAGAGATTTTTTACTTTTCTGTGACCCCAGAAACTGTCTCATCTTCATATTTGAGTTCTGGGATATTTCTGGTGATAATCTTGGAATTATATATTTGATTTTTGGTTTTCCTGGTAGCGGAAGGCAAGGGGCAGAGGGAAGCCAGCTTTCTTCTATGCTGCCATTTTGAAAGCAGAAGTTCTCACCCATTGTTTTTTGAGAGGACCACAGAAGTGTGATTTTCATCCCATTATATCAAGGATCCATATTATTAAAATGACTTTGTACTGAAGATACTAACCTTGATTGCCTGACTGAAGTAGTACTTAACAGATTTCCACATTGTAGAGTTACTTCTTCCCCTCCTCCCTCTTTCATTTTCTACAATTTGGAGGCAAACCACTATGCACATTCCACATGCAAGGGAAGGGGCAAAAGTTAAGCTTCACCAACATAGGGAGTAGTAGCTACATAAATTATTTAAATTTTGTGTGTACAAGGGATATATCTCTACTCTCTCATTTATTAATTATTCAACTGTTTATTTAGATTTGTATAGATTTATTTTCTGCTTCAGGTTATAATCTATTACTATATTGTGTACTTTGGTATTAAATCATTTTAGCTTTGAGGATTGGCGGCACCTAAACTGCAGAACACACCTTAAAAGATAGGATCAATAATAGCCTATGTCTAACACTGCAGTGCCTCTTACCAACCCATTCCTCTGACTTTCTTCAATGTAGCCATCATCCTAAATTCTGCTTTCATCATTCTCTTGTTTTATTGTAAATATAAATTTTATATATATAATTTTACTTTATCTGCAAGCTTTATTAAATTTTTTTTGTTTAA
This sequence comes from Homo sapiens, assembly GCF_000001405.40. Lineage (NCBI taxonomy): Eukaryota > Metazoa > Chordata > Mammalia > Primates > Hominidae > Homo > Homo sapiens. Next base: position 97,794,028 of record NC_000011.10, read on the forward strand.
AAGATATAACAATATATGCAAATATTCGGTGGTATTTTACCCTGATTATCATGTTGCTAAGATTAATCCATATTATTGCAGCTCATAAATTTTTATTACTAACATTTCTTTATATGAACATGGAAATATATAATTTATTGTATGACATATATTAAAGTCTGATGAATTATTTTAGTTAAATGAGAATTTCCTCAGTATATAAGAATATTAAATGGAACACCCAATGAAGACTATAGCTATACTCCTATGTAAGATAAGTCAACACATACGCTTTTAAAGAGAAAAGTCATCTGTGCTATTACTGTATTACCCCTTCAAAAGTAATATCAAGGCCGGGAGCGGTAGCTCACGCAGTTAATCCCAGCACTTTGGGAGGCTGAGGCAGGTGGATCACCTGAGGTCAGGAGTTCAAGACCAGCCTGGCCAACATGGAGAAACCCCACCTGTACTAAAAATACAAAAAAATTAGCTGGGCGTAGTAGCATGTGCCTGTAATCCCAGCTACTCGGGAGGCTGAGGCAGGACAGTCCTTGAACCTGGGAGGCGGAGGTTGCAGTGAGCCAAGATCACGCCACTGCACTACAGCCTGGGCAACAGGCAAGACTCCATCTCAAAAAAAAAAGTAATATCAAAAAAAGACACTTTTTTTACTCCCTGAATTATTTCTTGACATTAAAATTCAAACAAGCATCTGTTTGGTTAATTTATCGTGTCTCTCCGTCAGTAGTCATTATAATTGGATAACTTAAAATTCCCCTTCATAAATTTTTAAAACTCCGTATCCATATTTATTTTTTAAATTAGGAAACAGTAGTGGTCTGCAAAATGGTCATGAAGAATGTCATAACTAAAGAGTGCTATTGATGGAATTTAAAATGTTTACCTTGCAATATATTTTGTATAAGGAAAGAAGAAAGAATCATTATAAATACAGAAATCACTTTCTTCTCTTCGTACTGTGGCTGCCTAAACAGTATGCAGGCTCCTCATTCTCTTATCTATCTGTTATCTACAACAGGCCTGTTCAGGAATGTTCATGTAGTAGAGGAGGAAACCAGCTCTTCTGTGTAACCTGGAGTTCTCAGAGTAGACTTCTACACGAATGGACAGAAGACTGCATTACCCTCTTAGTCAGATATTATTATAGCTTTGTTATCTGCTGCAGGCTGAAGAAGCTTATATAAAATTCTGTCATTAGTACTCTTGAGATAATGAGCCATTATTAATAGAAATGCCATCATGAAACTATTGAATTTCATAAGAAGTTTGAGAAGTTTAGAATTAACTAAATTATGACATAAAAATTGATTGGCATGGCAAAGTAAATAGAATTCAAATAAGTATGGAATTATATGGAAAGAGATACTAATGGCTGAATATAAGAAGAAGGTATAACAGGTAAGTAGAACACAGTGACTAGAAAATGTGTCATTAGATAATCTGTACTGTTTTCTTTGTTTCAACTGATGTAAAAACACAATTTTATGTTATACACTATAACTGTTTTCCAGAGTATTGAATTGGTTGAGACTACTCTGTAAAAATCTCATATAACTTGAAAGAAATTAAAGTTTTGTTTTTTTAAATCTATTTATGCATTAGACGCTATTAAATATATTGTTTAAATACTAGCAATTTGACTAGTCCTTACAGACAAAGAAGAAGAGACAGTTCTGCTGTGGGCATTGAACAATTCATTATCAATCTCTGTGTGTGTGTGTGTGTGTGTGTGTGTGTGTGTGTGTTGTGTGTGTATTTGAGAGACAGGGAGGCTATTAACATCTGTTGAGTAAGTTCATGCACAGAAGTAGTCTTTTTAATATAATCCCTTTTTTGGCTAACATTTCTATAAAATGGGCACTGTTAAATCCATTTAAAGATAAGGAAACAGGCTTAGTGGGGGAGATGACCATTAGTAGAGAAGAACAAAAATGTGAGTTCATGTTAATCATGTTCCAAGCTCATACCATTTTCAACCTCACCTCATTTATTCTTAATTCTCTCATCTTTAAAATAAATAAAATAAAATAATTACTTCTGGATGTAAAAGTCATGGTTCTCTAAACTTTTACGGCTAAAATGAGTGGCTGATTCCATTGTAACAGGTCATAATTAAGATGATTTCTTGAATTTTGAAAGAATTATTTGCCCACTATCTCATTTTGTCACATTACTACCTTGGCAGAAATTATTATTTTTATAGCAACAGAGTTTAAGCTGCCTTACAGTTGTATGACTAATGTGGCTTAAATTTGCAATGCTTTATATGCCTAGGTTCGTTTCCAAATACTGATTTGAAGAGAAGTCTAATGTCATGACAATTATTATTAATTTTAAAAACATAATTATCAAGTATTGCTATGTATCAGGCAATCTACTAGATGCTTTACATGCATTATTTATTTAATGCTCACAGAAAACATATGAGGCCGATAAAAAGACTGATATTTGGCAGAAAACTTATAAAGTAATACAGAACATTTAAGTTTTTAAAAGCAGGATTTGAAACTAGATCTTCCTGGTGTTTATTGAAAAGCCACACTGAAGATGGAATAAGATGGTGGTGTCAAGAAGAAGCAGTGTAGGATTTGATAACAAAGAAGAAAATCTCAGAAATTGAATAGTTAAAAAAAAAAAGGCAGGGGTACGGGGAGCAGTATAGTATATTGCAGCTACTCCTAAACTGTGTATGTTAGAAAGTATGACAGCACAAACTCTGGGCTATATTGGATGAAAGAACTCTTAACATTTAACTCCCCTAATATTATAAGACAAAGTAAAATAAACCTTCGTAGTGTAAAAGTGGCAGTATATTTGGATAGAAAGAGCATTCCAAGGTATCATCTCAATTTTATTCAATTCAAAGTATGCGTTTTCTATCATGCAGGGAATTGTTCCAGATGCTTAAGGAGGACATAAAGATGTATAAAATTCAAAACCTGTATTGGCACAATATTCAGGCTTGAAAAGGTGACAGATGCTGTGTGTAAATTATAATACAAGATATAAAGTGGTAAGATACAAAAAGACTAGTGAGAATAGCACAGTATCTAAAGCTCCATTTTTATTCCATAGGTCAAGTTTGTATTCTTGGATTTGGGCCAATTTGGACAAACAGAGTTGGGATAGTAAACATTCCAAGAAGAGAACAGGATAAACAGAACTGCAGTAAGGTAAAGCATGTTTGGAGAAGAAAAAATATGACTCCTCTGCTATTGTACTAGTGTGTGTGTGTGTGTGTGTGTGTGTGTGTGTGTGTGTGTGTGACTGCAAATGGACAAACTTGGAACAGATAGTAGAACAGGACTGTGGAGGCACTGAGATTTTCTGGTAAGAAATTTATACATTATTCTGTATGTCCTGGAGAAGCAAACTGATGGCTAATTTGTTCTATCCCTGCTGGTGAACAAATATCCTTTATTTGACACTATATGATTTTTTTTAGAGATTACAATGGATTGATCAAATCTCAGATGCCATCCTACTGTTATTTATAGTTATACAAATAACTGTATATATAACTACATGTAGTTATATATATAGCATACAGTTATTTATATATATGAATATATATTATATAATTATATATAATAATTATTATAAGTTGTAGTTATAGAACTATAATATATTATAGTTAACTATATATTATATTTATATCATACATATATTAAACATATATTATATATGTATATGATACATATATTGTAGTTATATATACATATATTGTTAACTACAATATATTGTAGTTATATATATATAGTTATTTACGTAACTATAAATAACAGCAGTTAATTCAGATTTTCCTCCTAGGCTTTATTTTAAAATACTTTAATTGTATTTGTACTTTTTCCCTGAATCAGCTATTCATATGCAGACATCAAAACGTTTTTTAACATCCCAAACAAGCTTTGCTCATTGTTGAGGAGAGATAAATAATTGTGTAAGTCAGGTTTCTCCAGAGAGACAACCAATAGGATACTCTATATAGGATACTATATACTGTATACTATATATACAACCAATAGGTACGTATATATAGAGAGAGGGGAGAGCAGAAAGATAGAGAGAGATGAGACTGAATTTATTAGGGGAATTGGCTGTCTTGATTACAGAGGCTGAGAAGTCTCACGACAGGTCATCTGCAAGCTGGTGACCCTGGTATGCTGGTAGTGTGGCTCAGTCTAAATACAAAAGCCTCAGAACCAGAAAAGCTGATGTTCTAACTCTAAGTCTGAGGCTGAAGGCCTGAGAACCCAAGGGGTCAGGTCCTGAAGTCCAAATGCTAGGGAGCCTAGAGTGGGTGTCCAAGGACAGGAGAGGAAGACTGTGGCCAGCTCCAGCAGATAGATTGACATAATCACCTTTTCTCATTTTTCTTTTCTCCAGGCCCCAAGAAGATTGGTTGGTGCCCACCCATATGGAGGGCAGATCTTCCACCCTCAGTTCACTAAGATTCACATGCAAATCACCTCTGGAATCATCCTCACAGACATACTAAAAAATAATGTTTTACCAGATTTCCAGGTATTTCTTAATCCATTCAACTTGATACCTAAAATTAATCATCATGATGATACACAGTATTATTGGTTTTTACTTGGTCTACAATGATAATAGAGTTGACTTTTGAACAACATGAGTCTGAACCGTGCAGGTACAATTATACGTGGATTTCTTTTCTGCCTCTGCCACCCATGAGACAACAAAACCAACTCCTCCTCTTTTTCCTCCTTCTCAGCCTATTCACCATGAAGATGATGAAGATGAAAATATTTATGATGGCTCTACTTCCACTTAGTGAATGGTAAATATATTTTCTCTTCCTTATGATTTCCTTAATAACATTTTCTTTTCTGTAGCTTAAATTTTTGTAAGAATACACCATATAATACATATAGCATAAAAAATATCTGTTAGTTGATAGTTTATGTTATTGGTAAGGCTTCTGGTCAACTGCTGCTATTAGTAGTTAAGCTTTGGGGTTAAGAATACAGCATATAATACATAAAGCATATAAAATATCTGTTAGTTGGCTGTCTATGTTATTGGTAAGGCTTCTGGGCAACTGCTGCTATTAGCAGTTAAGCTTTGGAAGAGTCAAAAATTATCTATGGATTTTCAACTGCTCAGGGAGTTGGTGCCCCATCTCCTGTTGTTCAAGGGCCAACAGTATAGCAATATTTATGCCATGGTTTTATAAATAGCAAAAATTACCACAACTTTGCTTTTCTTTCTCTCAAAAGTGAGTCATGCTTTTAAGAAAATATTAACCTTCATTAAATTAGTTTTAAAGTTTTACCTTTTTATTGTCAATAATTGATCCATCTCCATTAAAAATTATGTTATTAGAAAAGAAGAATTTGTGTGAAGTACAAACCTGCCACGCTTGCCATTGCTAAAGAGTATAATGCTTTTGGCATGAGGTGGCCCCATTTCTCATAGAAGGCAAGCTGCTTTTACTGATACCACCTAACAAACACTAAGCCAAAGCTAGTCAATTGGCATGATAATTTAATAAATATAAAACAAGCCAAATAAGCACACTTTCAAAGGGAATATTTTTTAAAAATCTGAATTAGAACTTTATACCAAAATTCTGTTACTCTGCTGATAAACTTGACTTCAGAAATCTGCAGCTGATTCTGTATTTCCAAATATCAATTGTCTCTACCTTCAAAGTTGAACTCGAAGAAATAACATATTTCTTTCCACATTGTGTTGGCATCTGCATTAAGTTTATATTTCATTACATTAGGGGCACACATACTGTCAGGTCTGGCAGACATAGAGCAACACAGGCTATCTCTGCATTGTGGATAATATTTTGGTAGGCTGGCAGGGATTGGGGATTTAATTGATCCACAAATTTTATAAATAATTATGTTCCTTCAATCAGGTGAAACAGAAATGGTCATAGGGGAAATGTAGATGTTTTCTTTGTCTGATCATGGGTCCAGAGGGCCTCGTAACATATTCGGTGCTGAACAGAACCTTCTGAGCAGACTATGAAAGATTGAAGGTTTGAAATACAATGATCTTTTCCATTGTAATTCCAAATTCCAATATCAACATACAAATTCCATGTTCCTAATAACATATCTTAGTTTTCTAATTGGTTGTTTTGAGCTATTTCATATTATTTTCATGAGGATCACTTCCTTCCATTAAGCAGAATGGAACATTTCCCCTCAGGTTTATTTTTAGTTTATCTATAGTGAAAAATAGCATATTTAAAAATCAAATAGTCTAATGATTTTCCAAATGCATTCCTAAAAGTGATTTTTAATATTATTCCATTTCTTTTGGCTGAACACTTGTATATTTATAATAAACCTAGAAGCTCAAATGTCAACTTTTTGTTGTCCCATCAAAAGGAGACCAAATCACTTTATTGCCTCACCCTTCCCATTTGGCAGTGTTCCACTAGAATGAATTAGTAAGTGGTACACTGGATCTTCTACCCTAAGAGAAATGATGGGACAAAGTATATTTTAGAAATACTTCTCTAAGATAGTTCCCCTAATGAGGAAGTTACTGCCATTTTTCTTAAAAAATGCTGCAAACTTGAGTCTTTTTCTTTACTGCCTGGATTACAATTTCCTATTGGTCACCACTTCTCAAAACTGTTTTTGTCAGCTATTATTAAAACACTGGATAGAAATCATGACTACTGATAATGATAAAGCAGAACTAGTTAAGTTACTCAGCTTGGTCATCAGAAGATAATGATGATGGTTATTTGAAAACTTATTAAAAGCAATAAGAGCCATATGTGATTACATTTCTTTAATGCTTCTCTTGTTTTGGCTTAGCATCTATTCAGAAGTGTATCATTAGCATTCAGAAGAAATTATAAAAAAGATAATGACTGGAAAATAACCTTTTAAATGACTGCTGTTATATTTTTAAAGAATGATTCATTGGCAATAAAGCTTTAAAAGTCTACTGCATCATATATCATAGTGAACATGTACTTCCATGTTAGCCAGTTTCAAGAAAATGCTCCCAAGGAATGTGGACTTCACCTGACAAGGAACCCAAGCTCATTACCACTAGAGTAATCAATAACCTCTGCTAATGTGTTCAGCTGGCGACATAGGCCAGATCAATAAACCCCGCCACATGCTTTTGTTTTAGGAAATGAAGCCTTTTAGTTCTTAATTAAGGGAGAGCCCTCACATCCGTAATGATTTCTACAATGAATATTACCACAGAGGACATGGGAATGAATCTGCATTTTTCAATAAAGAACTGCATAAGGAAGGAGAAAAAAAAGGTTAAAAATAAGAGGACTTTGTTTATTGCTTCCTTTGTTTACATTTTAAAATGCAAACCCATAGGAAGTTGTGTTCCCCTTGAAGTGAGAGAATGGCAAAAATTCAATTTTAGAAGCACAGTGGCAGGGAGCAAAAATTGTTTGTTCAACAAATCTCCATATAGTAATCAAGTAAGGCACCATATTTCAAGAAGAGCCCAGTGAATCAACTGCTTGAAGAATTTACAAAGAGAGGACACAGAAAACTGAAGGAAATTATAGCAAAATATTAGAGCATGGCACTAGAATTTAACATAATCTAATCTAATTCAACATTTTATACTGTTTAGTTTTAAAGAATTAGGACATTTTTATAATATAAAATTATATTACAGGATCATTTAGGATCTTAAGAGTATAGAGCCCCCACATAGTTTACAATAAGGAAACAGTTTACAAAATATTCTATTTACATTCAGTAAAAACGATGACATAATATTGGACTCCATACCTGACTCTAAGACACACTGAACTTTTTGAAAGCTAAAAGACCAACTGGTAGATGGCAAAATTGTTTCTATTACTCTTTAATCACCATTTTCTTTAAATTGAGTATAAAATCACAGTGTTCTTAAAAAGTACATATGAAAATAAAAGATACCCAACTCCTTTGTACAAATAAGGCAAAGAGTTAGAGGATTCAGTTCTTTTCTGGGTCAGTATCTAATCATTCTTTCTTGATTTTTCCATGTACTTATTTATTAGACTTGGCTGAGTGTGACAGACTTCCTTAGATCGGGATAATTTCATCTACTCATTTATTCATAAGATGGAACATTCTGACTCAAGTCTTTATAAACTATTAATCTTAGCTTTGATGTCCTAAAATGTGGTTATTTGTAAGTGCATTCTCATTAATTTTGGACATATTTGCAATTTAAACATGTTTTCTGCTTATAAGTGAATTTAGCTCCCTAACAGATTGAAATAACCTCTTATATTTCCCAACTGTTTTTTTTTCTTTGTTGCAGATTTAGATCAAATTCTGCCTTTGAAAACTTCACCTTTTTATCTACATGAAAGATGGGGACAGATGTTTCCAATGCTTACTATAGCTTCAAAAATGTTTCAAAATCCTAATAGGTTCTATGCACATGAACTCTTTTGCTTACACTGATGTATTTTTAAACGTATTGATCACATACCAGATATGTTGCCCAACTAGCTATATAATCACTGGGACTCTATAAGAAGAAAACTTGGACAAAAGAAAGTGAAAGCATTGTAGCTTAGGACCACTTCAAACCAGCTGAGAGCACTTACAGAGCTGTATTTTTAAATAAATATACCCATAGGATTTGAAAAATATTGACAATAAAAAATCCTACTAAGATGAATTACAACTCCCTTATATGTTCTTCATTACATTTTAAAAAATCCTTTGTAGTATACTTTATTGTGTGTGTGTGTGTGTGTGTGTGTGTGTGTGTGTGTGTGTGTGTGCGCCTAAGCTCAGGAGGGAGGAAGAATGGGAGAAAGAAGAGGGAAGGTGAGGAAGTGAGGAAGGAGAAGAAAGTGGCCAAGGCGGATTCATGAAAATTTTAGTTAACACATGACAATCTGGCTGTCTCTAACCACACTACAGCAAAGCTAGCTCTTCTCAATTATTCGTCTTTTTCCCCAACTTTGGTTGCTTATTTGTTTTGTTGTATTCCATTTAATGAACACATGTATGTATAAGGTTTAGCCAAAGTCATTTCATATATGTCTACTCATTTAATTTTTAAGATAAGTCTATGGTGAGTGTACTGTTATTACTATCCTGACTTCAACAATGAGGGGACTTGAAATTAGAATTAAATCATGATTGTACAAGGCAACTAAAAACTGGCAAAGCTGGGTTTTGAACTCAGTTAGCACTCTACAATACACTGTCTCTCCATTTGTTGTTTACCAAAACTTCGTAATTCCTTAAGAATTGCGGGGAACCTGAAAAACGCTCTGCTTTTCTTTTTGACTTACCTCTAACTTAAGTCTTAGACATAATTTTGCAATTACTGGGAAAATATGGTAACAATTATTCAATAAAAGAAAAAATAGATTTAAAGAGAAACATTAGATACTCTTTCTAGATTTCTATCAATGCTTTTTTTTTAAAAGTTCATTTGAGGTATCAGTTTTTGTTCATTTTCCTCCAAATGTATACATGGAATACTTGTAAACATCATATATTACTTCATCATAAGCTCACTTATACTTGCCTACATAGAATAAAAAGTGGTGATTAGCTTATGGGAAGTGAATAAATAACTATTCACTTGAAAAGGTGAAGTGTTTCATAATCAATGAAAATTGTTGAGGGCATTATAGACTGTCTTTAAATGCTCATTTTGAAAACTGGCACATAAAATGAAAGAAAGTAGGATGAGATTAATCTTGCCTCTTGGTCTCCATTTGACTATTTTCTTAAACTTTGGCCCTTGCAAAAAGGCAAGTGTTTTCCCATCCCCTAAATAGTAGCTTTGAGCCATACACCTAATACAGTCACAGAAAATGAAGGTTTATGAGGGTTCAAATTGTATTTTTTACTGTTAAAATGGACAAATGAAATACGATCTAGGCTGAACATAAACTAACCTTAAATGAGAAACATTTTTAGTAGGTTGTTAGCCTTCAGCCCTGTAATTGCTAACCTTAACACACTTAGAATAAAGAATCATTTCATAGCACTCTGAGGAAATACAAATCTTAGTATTTATTTAATGAGAAAATCTTTTTTTGTAAGAGAAAATTATACTACTTGTGAAGTGATTTTTCCCCAAATAGCTTATTTTTGAACCCTCAACCACAGAATTTTTTAATGTGAGACTTGTTTTTATGGCATCGTTTGCTAAGTATTTGTCTAAAATACCTTAAATAAGCAAATAGGATGATTATACCCATGCAACTATTGCTGGAGTGATCAAAGTGACATGAGATTTATTTTGTATGCTTTGCATTTGTTAAAATCATAAGATAGTATTATAGAATGAGCTACAAGAAAATTTAAAGCACAAGAGGTATGATACAAGGAAAATGACATAATTCATTGAATACCTGGAATGTACAAAGCATTTTTCTTATTAACGAAATAAACAAATGAAGTAATTATTTCTTCTTATTACAGATGAAGTAAACTGAGGCTTAGAAAATGTAACTTTCCTAAGGTTAAATAGAAGTAATAAAAGTTGGTAAGTGAAAGAACAAGAATCCCCTATATTTAAATGCAATAGTCATTTTCTTTTCACCACTGACTAGAACATGTTACCCTCCCAGAAGTCTCTAAACGCATACCTTTCATTTTTGGAGGAAAAAGTGGAGGCATGAGAGATTAAGTACCTGAATAAGGTTTTACGTAAGACATGGACAAGTATAGGAATGGGTCTGGGTTCTCTATATTCATTCTAAAATTCATGCGTTACATTTTGGTATAATATTGTTGGTTTTGCAAGATCTGTCTGTTTTTATGGCACCATTTTCTCCTACTTTATAAAATTTATGAAGCAAAATGAAACTCATGAATATCTGAGAGCAGTGGGGAGAAGTTTACATTTAATAGCTTTTTTTCCTCTCCTGGAATCTATAATTAGCAGTAGAGAACAATAGATCATTAAAAAATCCAGCAATGATATTTGAATTAATATTTTTATTCTTCCTGGTAAGCAACAAAATTCTAAGTAGTTGGTACTTGAAACCTATATGTTTCACACAAATTGCCATCATGTTAATGTGAAATATATTTTATAATTGAAGACTCAAGTAAGAAAAGCCCCAGAAACAAAACCCTGCTGTACTGTAAATCACAGATGAAATATGTTTAATGGTTGTAATTTTCAAATGGCCTACAGGCAACTGGAATGCTTTTAGGATCTTCATACTGGTATCATAGCAATAGATAATTGAATTTTTTATGGCCCCATTATTTGTTAGTATTTTAGTAATCAAAACCATTAGCCAATGTGCTGAGCTGGTGGCAAACTGGAGTCAATAATCTTGCCACATGCTTTGGTTTTAGGAAATGCACCTTATAATCTCTTAATTAAAGGCCATTCTTTCATTCCCATTTGAGTTCATTAGACATCTAAGAATATTCAAGAGGAACAGAAAAGTAACTTTAACATTGGTAGATAGTAAGTAAATCACGTATCAATTAAAACATATAGGTTACTACTATATATATCCTAGTTCAAGAAAACCTCATGCCAAATATGTTTACCCTCAAATTAGAAAATTATTACTTAAATAATTATTAGTAGTAGTATTTTTCTGCAGCATTTTAAAACTTTGATTATCACACTGTAAGGCATTTTAAACCTAGTCAACTAACGAACAATCCACTTTCCTCAAAAGTTATAGAAAGCACATCAATCTCAATATACTTGTTTTCTCAAATTCTACTTTCTTTAACTTAAAAAAAAAGTAGTCATTTTCAGATGTCATTAAATGCAATTATTGAATTTTGTTCTCTGTAAACTAACCTAACATTGTAGGAATCAAAAGATCATTTGTTGGTTTCTGTGAGTCTAATCATGACATTTGTTGGGTCATTATTTAAGAGTTGTGTTTCCGATGGAATCCAGTATATTCCTTCCTGTGATTTTTTAAGTACAGGAGACACAATTAAGGTAGCTACAGCTAATGCCAACAGTTAAAGCTAACCCAGTTAGGATGGCTCTCAATTAGAGGAACCAATTACGGTTTCTACAAGACAATCATTTTCACAGCTAAAAGAGTTCTCCTGAATCCTTATCCATTGTCATTTTTTAAAAGAAATTTATTTGTTATTACCTGAGTTTTGTCTGATTTACATTACTCTAAAGTGAAAGTCATAATAGGCTAATATTAAAGGTTTAATAATAATGAACTCAAAAGTCAGAAAATATGAAGGTTAATATTCTAAAAGTAAGAGTCACCATGCACATTTATTCAACAGTCTCTCCAACAAAAGTCTTCCATATATAGCTGGAATAATTTACCATTGTTTGAATTATTTCATAAATTCTTATAGGAAGCCTACATTTCTCAGGTACTTATATTATTTCATTGTTGTTCAGTAGGTAGAACACAAGGTCTGTATCTGGCTAACTTGATTAATTTCCATTATCAGGAAGAAACTGTCTTTTTCTTACTATAATGTAGCCAGCTGATCTATGCCTGGAACCCAGAGGATTCATGTGGCATCTCTTGGTTACTGTGAAAACATTAGGTAAAAACTACATTGACTCAATAAAGTCAGGACAAATAAATATGTAAACCTTTCAAGAATAAGTTTAATTCTCAAAAGATTTTAAAAAATAGTAATAAAGTGAGTTGCTGGCTTGGGTAAAAGGATGCAGTGGGTAGTAAAAATAGGAAATAATAAACAACTATAGCCTTAAAGCTATATATAGAAATGAAGAATTTAGTGGCATTAAATGTGTGTATTAGAAAGATTATATATGTATATATTAACCTATATATATTAACTACTATATCTCTCTACTCCCTTTTGCCCTGCTCTTCTATATGAGGTGTATCAATGTTTAAATTTACAAATTAGTCTATAGGTCATAAAACCACAATAAGCCCATCTGGATTTGATGGGGAAGCTTTCATATTGCCTGAACATCCTGAACTATTAGACTTAATGAAATCAGTAATGAGAATCTGGGGAGAGAGGAAGAGTATTAGTGTTTTATGAAATACATTTGTGCCATATTAAACAGAGATATACTATTTTGTATGGGTGTTAAATACAGTATAATGGTGAAATGGATGCAGGAATTTTAAATATGGAAATTGATATAGTTTGAATATTTGTCCCACCCAAATCTCATGCTGAATGTTAATCCCCAATGTTGGAAGTGAGGCCTGGTGAGAAGTGTTTGGGTCAAGGGGAGCAGATCCCCTTTGGCTTGTGCAGTCTTCATGATAGTGAGTTCTTGTGAGATCTGATCATTTAAAAGTGTACAGCACCTCCTCCTCTCCTCACTCTTTCTTGATCCTGCTCAGGCCATGTCATATGCTCGTTCCCCCTTTGCCTTCTGCCATGATTGTAACCTTTCTGAGGCTTCCCCGGAATCTGAGTAGATGCCAACACCTTGCTTCTGGTAAAGCCTGCAGAAGTGTGAGTCAATTAAAACTCTTTTCTTTATACATTACCCAGTCTCAGGTACTTCTTTATAGCAATGTGAGAACTGCCTAATCCAGAAAATCGGTACCAAGAGTGGGTGTTGCTATACAGATACCTGAAAATGTAAAAGTGGCTTTGGAACTGGGTAATAGGGAGAAACTGGAAGTATTTGGAGGATTTATAAGAAGACAGGAAGATAAGAAGAGTTTAGAACTTCTTAGAGACTGTTTAAAAGATTGTGACCAAAATACTGATAGTGATATGTACAGTGAAGTCCAGGTTGATGACGTCTCAGATGGAAATGAGAAACTTACTGGGACCTGGAACAATGATCATGCATGTCATGCCTTACCAAAAAGTTTGGCAGCATTCTGTCCATGCCCTTGGAATCTGTGAAAGTTGGAGCTTCATAATGATAATTTAGAGTGTCTGGTGAAAAAACTTGTAAGCATCAAAGCATTCAACATGTGTTCTGGCTGCTTCTAATAGCCTATCCTCAGATGGAGGGGCAAAAGAATAACTTAAAATTGTAACTAATATTTAAAAGGAAAGCCCAGCATTTATGTTTCAAAAATTTGCAGCCTAGCAAAGTGTCAAGAAAGAAAAAGCTTTTTAGGGGGAGGAATTCAAGTGGGCTGTGGAACAACCACTTACTAGAGATGTTTGCATAACTGAAAGGGATTCAAGGCTAATATCCAAGACAATGGGAAAAAAGGCCTCAAAGACATTTCAGAGACATTTGCAGCAGTCCCTCCCATCACAGGCCCAAAGATCTAGGAGGGAAGAATGGTTTCATGGGCCTGGCCGAGGGCCCTGCTGCCCTGTGTAGCCTCACGGCACTGCTTCCCTCATCCAGGCCACTCCAGCCTCAGTTCAGAGGACCTCAAGTACAACTCAGACTACTGCTTTAGATCGTATAAGGCATAAGCGTTGGCAGCTTCCACATGGTGTTAAGCCTGCAGGTGCACAGAGTACAAGAATGAATGAGTCTTGGCAGCCTCCAGCTAGATTTCAGAGGATATACAGAAAAGCTTGGGTGTCCAGGCAGAAGCCTGCTGCAGAGGTGGAGCCCCTGCAGAGAAGCCCTAGTAGGGCAGTGTCAAGAGGAAAGGTGGAGTTGGAGCCTGCCCCCACATGGCACTGTGGCACTGCCTTTTGGAGCTATGAGAAGGGGATTACCACCCTCCAGACCTGAGAATGGTAGATCCACCAGCAGCTTACACCTTGCATCTAGAAAGGACAGTCATTCAACAACCTGTAAGAGCAGCCATGAGGGCTGTACCCTGCAAAATCACAGAGGTGGAGTTTCCCAAGGCCTTGGAAGCCTACCACAAGCATCAGTGTGTCCTGGATGTGGGACATGGAGTCAAATGAGATTATTTTGGAGCTTTACAATTTAATGACTTCCCTACTGAGTTTCAAACTTGCATGGGGCCTATAGCCCCTTTCTTTTTGCCAATTTCTCCCTTTGGAACAGAATGTTTACCTAATGTCTATAACCCCATTGGATCCTGAAAGTAACTAACTTGTTTCCAATTTTATAGGCTCATAAGTAGAATGGATTTGTGTTGTTTCAGATGAGACTTTGGACATTTAATGCTGGACCGAGTTAAGACATTGGAAGACTTTTAAGAAAGCATGATTGTATTTTGAAATGTGAGGAGGGAGATTTGGGAGAGGCCAAGGGGGAAATGATATAGTTTGAATATTTGTCCCTGCCCAAATCTCATATTGAATTATAATCTCCATGCTGGATTAGGGGCCAAATGGGAAACGTTTTGATCATGGGGGCAGATCACTCATGGCTTGGTGCTGTCTTCAGAGATGGCGAATTCTTGTGAGATCTGCTCATTTAAAATGTGTGGTACCTCCCCAACACACACACTGTCTCTATTGCTCTTGCACTGGTCATGTGATATGCCTGCTCCCCTTCCCCTTCCACCATGATTGTGAGATTCCTGAGGCCTCCCCAGAAGCCAGGCATATGCTGGTACCATGCTTCCTGTAAAGCCTACAAAACCGTGAGCTAATTAAACCTCTTTTCTCTATAAATTACCCAGTCTCAGGTATTTCTTTGTAGCAATGCAAGAATGACTTAATACAGGAACTGAAGAGATAATTTGTCTCTCTTCTCTCAGATATATTCCTCAGTTTTTCTTTATTCTCTATGTCAAAGAAGCAGGACTCAGAAGTCTATATTTCTACAATCATTTGCCTATTGTTTTCCAGACTGATTTGGCCAATGGAATTCCTATAAGGTCCCTGTTATGGATTGAATGTGTCCCTCATAAAATTCACATATTCAAGCCCTAACCACAGAAGTATTGGTACTTGGAGGTGTGGCCTTCAGGAGGTAATTAGGTTTAGATGAGGTCATAAGTGTGTGGCCACCATAATGTTGTTAGTGCCCTTGTGAAGAGACAAAGAGACAGAGTGCTCTCTTCATCTGTTATAAAAGAACACAATAAAAACACAGCTGTCTTCAAGCCAGGAAAACAGTTTTTGTCAAGGAATGGAATTAGCCAGTAACCTTGATCTTGGACTTCCCAGCTTTCAGAACTGTGAGAAATCAATAACTGTTGTTTAAACCACTAGTCAATGGTATTTTGTGATGGAAGCCCAAGCTGACTGATACAGGGCCATTATTTCAGGAAAGATCTCTAGGTATTGTTGTGGCTTCTCTGAGAATCCAGATGTAACTGACACCCCCTCCATCCAGAGTTCTTTTACTAAAAAGCATAGCTTCTTCATTCTTGTGTCATAAGCTTCTCCTTTTGTCCCTTCAGAACTGAAATAGTAGCAGTTTTATTGCTAAACTTTGAATTGCTTCACTAATTGGCTTACCAATAGTTTTGTTATATGAGTAACAAATATGTTTAATTAAATTCCTAATCTTATAGATTAGGTATGCTAGTAATTAATTTTTACAGCTCCCTTCATTTAGGAAAAATAATTTTGCTGTGTATAGAATTCTGGGTAGACAGCTGTTGTTGCTGTTATTGTTTTTGTGGCTACTGGTTTTTCTTAGCACTCTAAAGATGGCACTTCATTGTCTTTAGCTGGCATGGTTTCTGATGAAAAGTTGGTTGTATTTCTTATATTTCATCCTGTAAGTAGAGACTGAGGTAAGTAGTTTTAATATTTGGACATAGATATATCTTTTCCTTTTGATGGGCCTTAAATGAGAAGCTTTGTTATTCTAGCTGGAATTTAAGTTAAGTCTGAGAAATTTTATTGCTGATAACCCTCAGTGCACTAAGTTTTTCACATGCCTGTTGTGAATATCTTGCTTCATTCACATTGCCTTGCCAGTCTGCACTTGGCCTTCACCAACTAATAAACTATTCTAGCTGAACTCTATTTTTCTTATATCTAGTTTTATCTATAGCAGGCAAGTGAGTGCTTATGTCTTCTTTCCCCACGCAGTTACCTGTCTCTTCTTAGACTTTGGGCCAGATCAAGGGTATTTGTCCACAATTCTTTAGTAGATTCAAATAAGTTATAAAGTTCATGTGAGTCTTGGTTTCTTTGGATTAATTTTAAAAAACAAAAACAAAAACAAAACCACAAACAACCTATTTTTTGTTCTCCACTTCCCAGAGCAGAAGTCAGAAGTTCAGTGATATGTTTCTAACTCATTACCCAGACATCTATTTGGGCTTTTGTTGACTAAATATCATGAACTGTGCTCTGTGCTAGTTTTTAAGTATACAAAGATTTTTTGAAGATGGAATAGGCCTTGTGCTCAAAAAGATTTAGTCGTTTGGAGATATTATACTCACATATACACAAACATACAATTGCTGTGGCAAAAATAAGGAATCAACAGGGCCACACCAAGACATGGACATTGCTAACAAGGAGCCACTCCTGTTAAAACTAGGGGAATAGATAAGAAAGAGTCAATCTGGGCCATATAATCAGTTAAGATTATGCAGGATCTGGGAAGGAAATAAGATGGCAATTATCTCTGTGGAACATACTTGGGGAAATAGAAGTATGAGGACTATGATGTTTTCTATGCTTTTCCCAATTTTATGCAAATGTTGTGCAATTGGCCAAGTCTCACCAACTCTATTGGACTCCAGCCCTTGTTTATGTCCCTCATTAAAATATTTATATCATTTCATATCTATACCACCCAATTCAGTATTTAAATATATTCTAATTTGTAGTGCATATTTTTACACATCTTTTTTATACCCCAAAAATTCTAATGTCCATAAAAGACAAGGTCATATTGTATTTCTTTTTATGCAGTGAGACTGAGGTCATGAGGAAAGCCTGTACATTAGGATCACACAGAAGAATATTTGCATCTTGGGTTGTATTCTTTCTATCTTCATTACCTTGAGTAAGTTACTTATGCTTAATAAACCTTGAATTACTTAACCACAAAATGACTGGCTCTAAGGGTGCTGAATAAATATAATCATTGCTAAGTTCAATGTAAGGTGTATTAGCAAGAGACTTCTGAAACTTTTCTTTTGAAAAATAAATCATACAAAAACACCTGAAAGAAATATTTGGTAAGGGTAATTATAGTGCCATATAGAAAACTATAGCCAACATCTGTTCATACATCCACAAATCCCTCTTCAAAACACAGCATCATATAAATATTATCTCAGTGAAGGTGAAGCACACCGAAAGTTTTGGGGTGAAAATATTCTATGTAAGTATATTTTATTGGTAATCTAAAAACAGAAAAAAAAGAAAAAATCTGTAATTCATTCAGTTGATAATTTCTCCCTTTGATGCTGCAAATTTACATATACAGATTTCATCTTAACTTTAGATGTAAACATATTGCAGTAAAACTATCTACATTCATGAATTTTGAGCTAATGCCTTCTTAACTCAAAGGGCTCTAGTTGAGGTGCCCATTGAAGGCAAATAAGCAATATTCCTTAAATATATTCAAATGCATAATTTAAATCTTTCACATCTCAAAAACAGTTAACCAGTTTTCCTCAAATATGGTATAATTTTCCTTCCACAATAAAAACTGCAATCCTGCCAACTTCGGAGTTGTATAGCTTTAGCTGTTTTTTAATTATACCAAAGAAAAACAGAGATGAAGTGTTTTTCTTCTAAGTGAAGAAAAGTTTTCTATTCATACTTGTATTACTCAATACCATAAGAATGGATCTTGCACAAATGTGTTTTTACGGAAATCAAGGGGCTTTGGGCAGAGACCAAGTTCTACCCACAAGGAGTGGCAAATATATTATTTTTGAAGTTCCATTAAGGAATTAAATTTGCAATGTAATTCTTAGTCTAACTACTACATTTGTTATTTTAAATGTTATTTTAAACTTTATATTCAACATTAACATTAAAAAAAAAACACTGTTCTCCCTGCACCACCTTTGCTTGTAAAAAATAATGTTTAGTACTATTTAGGTATCTTTTAACATAAGTCCTCTTGGTCTATCCAAATTTATCTCTCATTGAGCCTAGGCACTTTTTTTTATTCTATCTAGGGTGAACACCTCACTTTCTTCCATTTTTGCTAATCTGTTTTTATTTCCATATCTCTGTGTATACTATGCTCTCTGCATAAAACACATTGATTGGCCGGGTGCGGTGGCTCACGCCTGTAATCCCAGCACTTTGGGAGGCCGAGGTGGGTGGATCACAAGGTCAAGAGATTGAGACCATCCTGGCCAACATGGTAAAACTCTGTCTCTACTAAAAATACGAAAATTAGCCAGGCATGCTGGCAGGTGCCTGTAGTCCCAGCTACTTGGGAGGCTGAGGCAGAAGAATCAGTTGAACCTGGGAGGCAAAGGCTGCAGTGAGCCGAGATCGCGCCACTGCACTGCAGCCTGGCGGCAGAGTGAGACTCCATCTCAAAAAAGAAAAAACAAAAAAAAATGATTTCTACCTGTCCAAATACAACTCAGTTATACAAGCCCAAGTTACAACTTCAATGAACGCTCGTCAAACCATTTTGGGTTATACAAATCTCTTTTTTCTCATATAACTTTCTTTCTTGCCTCTGTTTTATTTTTCTATTTTCTTTTCTTTTTTTTTTTTTTTTTTTGGACCTGAGTAAAAGCTATCCATTGTAATAGAAACAATCAATAAGAAGGTGTAATTTCAAGTCCTGGCACTTTTGCTATTTGTTAGAATTTGCATCTTGGATAAGTCCCTTGACCTTATCGGAACTATTTTGTTATTATAATGGAAAAATAATAATATATTTTACGTGTTTATAAATTTAGTAGTAAATGATGGGATATTCTTCTGTGGACTGGAAAATGCTATGCAAACTTAAAGAGATTAGATTTAATATATGTAATCATTTTATATATTGTAACGTAACAGTTCATCAGTGAACCCCACTTTCAGGTCTTCAATATGCACATGTTAATATAAGGGCTTAGACTAATTATCATCTCTCCATGAATATTCAACTATTCTGTGGAATGCTATTCTCTTGAGGTACTCTGGAAATTAAGAATACTGTAGCCAAATAATTTTGACAAACACTGCCCATAGTATATATGGTACTTCTCAGGGAACATTAAACATTAAGATTATGAGATGAAGAAACTTATTTAACTTTGTTTAAATTGATAGTTTTTAAAAAATGTTTGTTTATAAATATTTAAAAATATGCAACTATATTAACCCCTTTTTGGTCTAACAACTATTATATTAATATTTTTGGACAATAATCCTGTAGATATTAAATAAGTCATCTTTGGTCATTTCCAGTGGTATGACTTGAAATTTCTATTTTTTCAGTCATACACCTTTACTTTCTGATACAGTCCTAAATATATTAATAGCATACAATAAATAAATTATTTAGGACTCAATAAATGACATCATTTACTAACATGGTCCAGCATATTAGTATAAAAATTATGCGAGTTTCATACAAAAGGGAGTCTACCCCTACGTTTTCTATAGACCTCCGCTAGCTGCTCAGGAAAGGTTGAGGACAGGGCAAAAAACTGGAGAGAGACTGCCTACACAGTGCAGATATGGAGGAGGAACAGCCTGCTGGTGTTTGGGAAGGAATAGAAGACTGACCCTATCTTGATTGTTCTTTTAAAAGCCATGTGTCTCTAGAGAAGGGTGAGCAAATGCTGTTGGCTCCAGGGCAAAGGCAATGACTCGTTATTTCTGGAGGAACGAACAGATGAAAAAGTCCTCAATCATTTCTGGTGTGAGGTGTAGAAAACAATCCTGAGCCCATAATTCTACACCAATAAAATTAGAATTTGCCTACTACTGGAAGAGGGACAAGAAATTCCCACAGAAACTCCAGCAGAGATACAAGACAGAATTTGGCTACCTATTTAGGAGCAGCACAAATGCCAAGAAAATCCCAAACCCTGAGGCTAGTCATTCATGGACTCCCTAAAGTTAAGGCTAACATAAAGAGACTTGGAAAAAATAGGAACCCTTAATAATGAGCAACAGCTGTGTATATCTGGAGGTGAGAAAAGGCCACAAATGGAAAATCCTCTATGCTGCAAAGCTATAGGGATGGCTCAAAGATGAGGGTAGAACTTTAATATTAAGAAAAATCCTTCAATATCTCAGCACCATCATAACTACAAGGAATCTTTAGAGAAATTTGAAGCCTGTGATACACTGAAGACACTCAGAAGCAACAAATTCAAACCCAGCTCAACTCCTGATAAGATTCAGTCAATCTTTATCCTAAATGCCTGAAAAGAGGTATTTTTATATCCAGGGTTAAATAGTATTTACCTCATCTCTCAAAGCCTACACGAGATATTCAATATTCAATAAAATTAAGTGTGCACACACACGCAAAAACACACACACACACAAACCAGGAAGGAGGAAAAAAAAAACATTTTCAAAACACAGTGCAACCAGCAGAATCACAGATGACCAAGAAGTTGGAACTATCAGAGAGAGAGAGAGACTTTAAAAGGTATGGAATTAATATGACATAAAATCTAGTTGAAAAGGTGAGCAATATGCATAAACAAATTGGAAATTTCTCCTGTAACTAAAGTAGTACATGAAATATTTCCAGATGAATTAGAGCCAGTTTGGGAAATACTTCTACCTACTCATATGGTCACGAAATTTCAGAAAATTAAAACCAAAGGTAAATCTTAAAAGGTTTGTGTGAGTTGGAAAAGCAAATAAACAAAACCAAATACATACAGGTAACACATAAAAATAAAGCAGAATAAATAAAAAAGTATAATATTGGTCCCAGATTGAATCCTGGCTTAGATAAATTGTAAAGAAAATTTTTGGGGAAACTTGATGAAATTTTAAAATTTCATTTAATATAACAGAAAAGTGGAGAGTGTTAGGTGAAAAACACAGGTTAAAACAATATGTATTTATTTTAGTATTTTTGTGTGTAAGGCTTTGAGAGACTTTAATGTTTTGTTTACTTTCTAATTTTTACTTGTTTCCAGGAAAGATGACTCATAAAATGAAATGCATAGAATTTGACAAAATATGCTGGAAGGAGCTTAGAGTTTTTAAGGAATAAAGAGAAAAATTTGCCTTAAAATGTATAAAAATGATGCATTCTTTAACGTCAGACCTCAAGGAATAAGGTTATATAATGAGAGGTGGGTAGAGATACTCTTGGATTGTGAGGGGGGCAGAACATTTTTGTTCTAAGGGGCAGACATATTTCATTTACAGCAAGAAGATGAAGGAATCTCTACAGAAATATGTACAGATATAGAGGAGTTTCAAGATTAAAAATATGGTTGACTGAGGACCCGGAAAAATATGTTTGATATGGAAGAAATGGAGTTGATGTGGTCATATTTGGGAACCGTACAAAGCAATGTGCGGGTAAGTATGCAAAAATTGGGGGTCAGGAAGAGTAAGATTTCTAATGTGAATGGGTTTAAGTGGGTTATTAAATCAAAGTTGGATTTGAAGAAATCAAATCAAGTCTTAGAAGCAGATGTGAGTAATCAGTGAAAGTCAAAGCTTAGAAGATTTAGCTAAAAGGTATGGAACCCTGGTCATATATTCCATCTTCCGATTCAAGATTGTGTCTTTGCCTGTTTATTAGACGACGATCTCTCTGAGAGACAAGTCTGTAAGGTAGGTAACTGAGCTCTGACAACTTGAGGAGGTATCACAACAAGATTATGAGTAGATGTAAAAATCTCAGGGGTGCCTGTTCTCTTCTACAGTACCATTATGTCATTGTGTCATCATTAAAGAAGGAATATTTATTTCCTTTTTAGTAAGAGAAACAACAGGTTAAATGGATTAGAGTGTGTTGGGCTACAAGTAGCAGGAAGTCTGACATGCTTACTACTAATAGAGAAAGTTACTACCTCGCAGAATTTTAATTCCATAAGAAGATACATTCAAGTGTTGGCGGTTGATTCTGTGGATTAATAGCAGCATCAAAAAGCCATATTCTGTCTGGTGCTCCTTTCTGACACTTTCAGTGGGTTGGTTTTGTAATAATATTAGTTCTCTGTAGAGTCACAAATTGGCTGCCAGTAGCAGCTTGAGGAACACGCTCCTTTGTTCTTGTCCAGAAAGATAATAGCTTCTTGTTTCTATTTACCAAAAGTCTTAAATGAGAATTTCATCTCTCATTCTTAGGTCTATCATTTGAGTAGAATGAATAATAGATTAATGCCAACAGGTGATAAATAGATATATATTATTCAGCATATAGTATCATTTCTGTCAATTATTAGGTAACAAGAAACATTAGCTGAAAGAATAATGGATAATCAGTAAATGTTTATTAATTTTAATGAACTTATACTAGAGTACACATTTTACTTTTTGAAAATTTTGTACATTGATTATATTTTAAGAGAAATATTTTATATATTTTCATCAGTACCCCCTTTTCAGTGAGATCATAATGTCCTTGGCTTGTTAGTCTATATTTTTAGTAATTCTTTGTCAAAATTGCATTTGAATAAGGAAAATGATGTTACATTTATGCCTCATGTTTGGCAGATATGTCCTAGGTCACGTCTCTAAGCAAATACCTTTGCTAATAGACTGAATGACCAAGCTAGGTTAAGATATTTGCTTACTCTCTTGTTTATTACCGAAGAAATAATGGAAATGAACTCACTGATGTTTTGTAGAATCTTATAGATGCTATGTCATACCATTAGTCCAAACTCAATAATTTTTTTAATTCTTTTGTATTTTGAGACAGGGTCTCACTCTGTCTCCCAGGCTGGAGTGCAATGGCAGGAACACAGCTCACTTCAGCCTCAACCTCCTGGGCTCAAGCGATCCTCCTGCATCAGCATTTCCAGAAGCTGGGACTACAGGCATGCACCATCACATCTGGCTAATTTTTGTATTTTTTTGTAAAGACGGGGTTACACTATGTTGCCCAAGATGATCTCAAACTCCTGACCTCAGGTGATCCACCTGCCTTGGCCTCCTAAAGTTCTGAGATTACAGACATGAGCCACCATGTTTGGATGAAAATTCAATCATTTTAAAAACTATACTCATTTCTTCCAACTAACTAGATTTTCCTCTACGATATCCCCCCAAAAATGCATTTGAGTGTGACTTCAATATCCATCAATTTTTTTCCAGACTAAAAATATATGCCATAGTCAACTCCTCACTGTCCCTAAAATTCAAGTTTTGTCTATCCTCCACTCTCCACCCATTCATTCAAGAAACATTTTTTGCACTGTGTACAACATATCATCCTAAGCCTGGCCTTCATTAAAATACAATCTAGCTTAGAAGACAAAACATAAACAAGTATTCATAAGTGTGATGTACAACCTACATTTAATTAGGTACATATAACCTATATTTAATTAAGTACATAGATCTTAACTATAAAATTTAATGTCTTGACAAAGGTATACATTAATGTAAACCATACTCTGATTAAGTTATAACACTTTTTGTTAGGTAGCTTTTCAGACTTTTCACATTATTAGGGGAGCTATTTGTCTTTTTAATTTTGAATGATAGGGCTTGTTGTCTGGACACAAGTTGTTTGCTAAATATATGCTAGATTTGGGAGCAAAATTTGTTACTCTAAAGGTATATTCATATTCTCTGTGAAGATATTTAAATATGTTTGGCTTCTTGCATACATACTAAGCTTACACTATATGATTTTGTTTGAATATAAA
Source organism: Homo sapiens (assembly GCF_000001405.40). Lineage (NCBI taxonomy): Eukaryota > Metazoa > Chordata > Mammalia > Primates > Hominidae > Homo > Homo sapiens. The sequence continues at coordinate 97,818,554 of NC_000011.10, forward strand.
TTTATAAGATCATATACTGAAATATAGAAATGAGCGGCTCATTAGGAAAATAAATATAAGATTATGTTAAAATTCAATTTATCAACATATATAAGCCTCCTAAATATATTTATATATAACAGCTTACTACAGATACGTAAGCATATTCAAGAAACCTTCTTTGATAATGAAAAATGGAAAATAAAATATTTTAGGGAGATAATCTCTATTCTATGCATCCATGTAAAACATCCATGTTTTCTTATTACCATCAACCATATATGTCAGAATTAATCGTTTTATGTTTAACTTATGATCACCCTGAAAAATCTTATATAGAAAGTTTTTGACACAACATTAATTTCCCTAATAACATAGCTGTACTTTATGTACATGTTAGATTTCATTTACTTTTGTTGTTATTGTTATCATATTTACTTTAATAACAAATCTTATATTTTAACAAGTTTCTCAATTGCAATTTCAAATTGTAAACTTTACAGTTGGCTGGCATCTTCTTACAAATTAATTACACTGTTTGAGAAAATTGCTCAGGCCTAGAAGACTGACTAAATATATTAGGGATTCTAGAAACAAATCACACAATAATATTCCTAAAGGGATGTGAGACTCAATGAAGCACTGTTTCTCAAAGAAAAAAGAGAAGAGAAAAAAGGAAAATGAAAACAAAACAAAATTAGAAAAGGTTTTAACATATATTACATTTTTCTTATAAATTCACCCTTAACAAAGATGAGGTCTTAAAACATAAATTCAGTGTTTTATACTTTGAGACAGTGGAAATAACAGTAAAAGGAAAGTCAAAATGTGCGATATAGTTCTGTCTCTAGAGCTAATAGTTGTGTGATAATGGACAAGGTACCTAACTTCTAAGGGTGTTGATTTCTGTGCTGTGAATTAGCTGTATCATTTAATGTTTCCTGCTGTATCATCCAATAATTCACTCCCTTATAGGTAAGTAAAATCATATTCTTACAAATATTATTGAGTTGGTGCTCAAACATACAAGATTTCAAAGAATGCTTTTTACTGGAAACAATCGGGTTAGTGCTATAAGCATCAAAATACTCTCCCCATTTGTTTGATTACTTGACTATTTAGATTTATTTGAAATTATTTGCATTAGCCATAGAATTATTAGCACCATTCCATTATTTGAATTCTTTATAGGTATGAGATAATTCTTACAGTTATTACATCATGGGGATAAAAACGTGATTCCCTTTTTTTCTCCCCTAGATATTAAGAAATGAAAGAAATAAGATATTTCTTCTTGAGTTTGTTCCAACTCATGGGGTTATATTGTCAAATCAGTTTCACATGAATCAGAGAGCATACCCATCGACAAGTTTTATGAAATAATTTCAAGCATACAGGAAATCAGAAGCTCAGAAGACACAGAAACATGTCTGTGCCATTGACATTGAGGGTTGTTCCCCAGGTTCTTGTTTCACATGTTGAGCATGCACCTCTGGCCCAGACAGATGAGGACTCTGGATGAGGTTTTCAGATATTCTTATATAGTAGAGAGCATTTAACTTCTTAAAACAATTCCATTCTTTATTCCAGAGAGCCGTACATCGTCTGTGACATTTTCCAGAGCGCCATGCCTCATACACCCTACGCTCTCTTCACCGCAGAGGATCCTCCGCCAGGGCATGTGTTGAGGACATTTCAGAGGTGAAGTCTCTCCTTTCTGTTTATGCAGAGGTCCATCAGAAAATATTACACATGGTTCCCTGCCTTTGCCTTGTATTTCTGCCCCAGTACTGTTCCCTAAGTAAGGAGCATAAATGGATGTAGACTTGCCGCTTTAACTCATTCCTCCCTGAGTTAAACTGTAAAATCAGCACACAATTGATCAGAAAAGAGACAGAGAAAGACACTGCAAAATAGATGTTTCATAAGAATAACAAGATTAAATTGAAGTTATTATATATCTTTAAAAGATAGTTAATCAGAGTAATGTTAGTAAGAAATGGAGGATACAAAATTGACAGCCACCACGTTAAAAGTTCGTGACACATCAAAGGGCAGGTGTTTGAGAGGACTGGCCATCACAACATCCATGCCTGAGGAAGCCTTGAAACAGTCAAATGACAAACCTCTATTTCCTTTTGTAGTGAGTTATTTTTCCATTCCAAAAAATGTTTTTTAATTCATTCTCCTTGTAGCTAGCCAGCAGAGAAAGCTGTTCAGACTTACTTAACAGTGATGTTTCTCACTGTTAATTAATATAGTATCAGGTTTTTTGTGAACTGTCTGTGCATAACTAAGCATCTTTAAATTCTTGAGGATTTGACTGAGTAACGGAATTAGGAATATTCCAAGGTAATAACGTATTATAGATATATTAGGAAGAAAACTGGCTATGAAAGTAACATGCTAACACCTCCTTTTCTTTAATGAGTCATCTACCTCTGTATTATTTGTTCATTTCCTTTCCCCACTAATACATTAATTTGATTCATAAAAGTTAAGATGCTAAGGTTGCCAGAGTTCTCAGAGGTCCAGATCATCATGCATAGGATTCCCCTCCACAAGATCCTAAATGTCAATTAAATATTTTACATATTTTTTAGATGCTTTCAGTGTTAAGATAGTCATAATCTCACAGGGGAAACCATTATACTAACTACAAAATATGTATTAGTCACCCTGTTATCTTAGACCTTGCAGGTTGCTTCAAAATTATTTCATTCATTTATTCTATACATATTTATTAATATGCTATTCTTTGATAAACTATAGAAAAATAAAACCCACCTTAGAGTATTATATCGGGGGTTGGGGGGGCGCTCCCACCACATATACATTTAGTATATTAAAATACTAGGGCATTGGAATATACTTTACTGGTTACTAGGAAAATGCATAGAAGGGGAATCTAACATAGTTTGGAGGTACAGAGAAAGTTTAATAGAGTAGGTGATGAATTAGGTGAGAAGTAAAAAATAAAAGCAGTGTATTCTCATATAGCCTCATGGCTTTAAATAGCATAATTCTGATGTGCTCAAAATTTATATCTCCAGATCTGACCTCTGCCCTAAATTTCATTTATCAATTGCAAATACAGATCCCCTGGATACCTAATAGAGTAACTTAGTAACTTATCTTGCTCAAAACTGAGCTCATGATATTCTACACACATGCAATCCCATTGAAGTCTTCCCTGTTTCAGACATAATGACTTCATTGTTTCCCAGAAACTTAGGCTGAAAACCTAAATGCATCTTTTTTTCTTTTTGAGATAGAGTCTCTCTCTCACCCAGGCTGAAGTGCAGTGGTGAGATCTCAGCTCACTTCAAACTTCACCTCCCTGGTTCAAGCGATTCTCATGCCTCAGCCTCCCGAGTAGCTGGGACTGCAGGCGTGCGCTACCTTGCCAGGCTAATTCTTTTTGTATTTTTAGTAGAGATGGGGTTTCACCATGTTGACCAGGCTAGTTTCAAACTCGTGACCTCAAGTGATCCACCCCCTTGGCCTCCCAAAGTGCTGGGATTACAGGTATGAGCCACTGTGCCTGGACCTAAATGCATCTTTTTATGCCTCTCTTTCACTCACAAATCCCTCTGCCCATAATCTGCCAATAAATTTTGTTGGTTCTACCTTGAATATTTACCTAGAATTTGGTACCCTCTATACCTGACTCATGTTAACTGAGTCATTTGTGTGGCACAATTTCAGGAGTACCATTTATATTATGTCCTATATGACAAGTTCACTACCAATCTGAGCTAGCATTACTATCTCATGCTTCTATTACTAAAATCAAAAACAAAAGCACATAACTGATATTGTCCTTTCTCTGTTACCCTGCTACAGAATACCCTTAAAGCAAAAATAAGATCAATTATATTAAAATATAATTTACATGGCATCTCTTTTATAATGAATATCTTCTAAGGTTTTCTTATTTCAATCAGAAAAAAAGTCTTAATGCCTTATCGTAATCCAAAAGGCTCTCAGTGATTTTGACAACATTTTTAAAATTCATCAACCATTTCATATCCCTTGCCCTCTGTGCTACAGCCTCAATGCTGTCTTAATATTCTTTACAAGACTTCACAAACTTTGCCCTTGCTGTTCCCTCTATTTTTCTCTTCCCCCAGATAAATGCAGGACTCATTCCCTCATTTCCTTCCAGTCTTCAATAAAACACCATCTTCTCAATGGGAATTTCAGTAGCTATGCTATCTAAAATTTCCCCCCCTCCAATTTGCTACTTTTTCCTTAGCTTATTTCATTATCTAGCATGATATTTACACAGCATCTTGTGTATGGTCTATTAGTCTCACTAAAATGTAATTGTAGGGCAGCAATTTTTGCCTCAATTGTTCAGTTCTATAGGTTAAAGAAGCTACTTCAATGCTTGATACACAGAGGACATTCAAAAATAGTTACTGAATTAACCAAAAACTGCATTTAGGCAATAGAAAACAATAAAATTTGCAAGGTAAAAGAATGAAGTATGTTGAGAAGGACATGAGTAATTGTTTTTTAGTCTAACAACTTTACTGGAATACAATTCACATAACATACAATTTACCTAAAGTATAACATTCAATGGTTTTAGTATATTCACAGGGTTGTACAACCATCACCATAATCATAGAAACTTTTCATCATCCCAAAAGGAAACTATGTCCGTTTTAGAGGCCACTTCTTATTTCCACCCTATGACTCCCCACTGTCATCACCAACCCTGGCCATAATAAATCACTAGTCTACTTCTTGTCTATAGACATGCCTAATCTGGACATTTTAAATAGATAGATTTTATATAGTTAGATTCATTTAATATGTGGTCATTTGTGACTCATTTCTTTCACCCCACATAATATTGTCAAGGTTAATCTATGTCACAGAATGTAAGAGTACTTCATTTGTTTTTACTGCCAAAATATAGTTCATTGTATGGATCTACTATATTTCATTTAGCCATTCATCAGTTGATAGACACTTGGGTTTTCACTTTTGGCTATTATGAATACGGTGCAACAAGCATTTGTGTACAAGTTTTTGTGTGGATATATGCCCTTATTTCTCTTAGATACATGCCTAGAAGTGGAATTGCTGGAATATAAAGTAACTGTCTATTTAACATTTTGAAGAAGTGCCAGATTTTTTACAAAATGAATGAGCCATTTTAATTTCCTACCAGCAATGTATGAGAGGTTCAATTTCTCCACATCTTTGCCAACAGTTATTACCTGGCTTTTAAAATTTTAGACATCCTAGAGAGTGTGAAGTGGTATTCCACTGTATTTTTTTTTTTTTTTTATGAAACAGAGTCTCACTCTGTTGTCCAGGCTGGAGAACAGTGGCATAATCTCAGCTAACCGCAACCTCCACCTCCCAGGTTCAAGCAATTCTCGTGCCTCAACCAGTCAAATTGCTGGGACTACAGGTGTGTACCAACATACCTGGCTAATTTTTGTATTTTTAGTAGAGATGGGGTTTTGTCATGTTGGCCAGGCTGGTCTCAAACTCCTGACCTCAGTGATTCTCCCAAGTTGGCCTCCCAAAGTGCTGGGACTACAGGTGTGAGCCACTGCGCCCGACCCCATTGTATTTTTTATTTGCATTTTCATTATGGTTGATGATGATGAACATCTTGTAATGTTTACTGACCTTTTATATAATAATCTTCTTTGAAGAAATAGCTATCCAGAACCTTTGTCCATTTTTAAGTTGGCTGTGTACCTTTACATTATCGAGTGTAAGCGTTTTTTATATACTATAAACAAACCCTTAAAAATAATTTATCCTATTCTGAGTTGTACTTTTCATTTTCTTAATGTTTTCCATTAAAGCACAAAGTCTTTATTTAATTTATCAAGTCAATATATCTATTTTGTGTCACTCATGCTTTTGTTGTCATGTAAAAAGGTTTCGCCCAACCCAAGTGCCATAAAGATTTCTCATTTTTTTTTCTAATTTTTTACAATTTTTGCTGTTATATTTAGATTCATTTTAAGGTAAGTTTTGTGTACAGTGTGAGGTAAGGGTCCAACTTCATCTTTTGTATGTAGGTATCTAGTTGCCCTGAAATCATTTCTTGAAAAGACTATTCTTTTGCTCATTGAATTGCTTTGACACTCTCATCAAAAATCAAATCACTGTGGCTGGGCGCAGTGGCTCACACCTGTAATCCCAGCACTTTGGGAGGCCGAGGCGGGCGGATCACGAGGTCAGGAGATCGAGACCATCCTGACTAACATGGTGAAACCCTGTCTCTACTAAAAATAAAAAAAATTAGCCGGGTGTGGTGACAGGCGCCTGTAGTCCCAGGTACTCGGGAGGCTGAGGCAGGAGAATGGCATGAACCCGGGAGGTGGAGCTTTCAGTGAGCCGAGATCGCGCCACTGCACTCCAGCCTGGGCGACAGAGCGAGACTCTGTCTCACAAAAAAAAAAAAAAAAAAAAAAAAAAAAAATCAAATCGCTGTTGATATGAGGGTTTATTTATGGACTCTCAGTTGTATTCCATTGACCTTCATGTTTATTTTTTCCAATACCACTCTGTTTTGATTATTGTAGCTAAGTAGTAAGTTTTAAAACTGGGATATGTGTGTCTTACCATAGTTTAAAGGTTATTTATGTTATTTCAGGTCCCTTGAATTTTCATATTAATCTTCTCATCAATTTGTAATTTGTCCAAAGGAGTCAGCTTGGGCGAATTTCCAGAGTGGTATTCTTATGTGTCCTTCTAGGGATTTTATAGTTTTAGCTTTTACATTTAAGTCTTTACTTCACCTTGAGTTGATTTTTGTATGTGGTGAAAGGAAGGGGTCCAATTTCAATCTTCTTCATGAAGAAAACTCCAAAAGCACTTGCAACAAAAACAAAAATTGAGAAGTGAAACCTAATAAAACTAAAGGGCTTCTGCACCACAAAAGAAACTATCAACACAGTAAACAGACAACCTATAGATCGGGAGAAAATATTTGCAAACTATGCATCTGACAAAGGTTTAATATCCAGATTCTATAAGGAACTTAAGTCAGCAAGCAAAAATCAAACAACCACATTAAAAAAAGTGGGCAAAGGACATGAACAGACACTCCTCAAAAGAATACATACACGTGACAAACAAGCATATGAAAAAATACTCAACATCATGATCATTATAGAAATGCAAGTCAAAACCGCCATGAGATACTGTCTCATACCAGTCAGAATGGCTATTACTGAAAAGTCAAAATAACAGAAGATGGTGAGGTTGCAGAGAAAAGGGAATGATTATACACTCTTAGTGGGAATGTAAATCAGTTCAGCCACTGTGGAAAGCAGTTTGGAAATTTCTCAAAAGAACCTAAAATAGAACTGGCATTCCCATCACCATGTATATACCCAAATGAATGTGAATTGTTCATAAAGACACATGCATACTCATATATTCACCACAGCAATATTTATAATAGCAAAGACATGAAATCAACCTAGCTGCACATCTATAGTGGAGTGGATAAAGAAAATGGGGTATATATCCACCATATAGTGGAGTGGATAAAGAAAATGGGGTATATATTCACTATGTAGCCATGAAAAACAACAAAATCACATCCTTTGCAACAACATGGATGGAGCTGGAAATTTACACAGGAATGGAAATTTACACAGGAATGGAAAACCAAATACCATTTAATCTCACTTATAAGTGGGAGCCACTGGCCAGGTACAGTGGCTCACACCTGAAATCCCAGAACTTTGGGAGGCTGAGGTGGGCAGATCACTTGGATCAGGAGTTTGAGTCCAGCCTGGCCCACATGGAAAACTCCATCTCTACTAAGAATACAAAAATTAGCCAGATGTGGTGGTGTGCACCTGTAATCCCAGCTACTCAGGAGGCTGAGGCAGGAGAATTGTTTGAACCCAGGAGGTGGAAGTTGCAGTGAGCCAAGATCGTGCCATTGCACTCCAGCCTGGGTGACAAAGAGAGACTTCATCTCAAAGAAAAAACAAAACAAAACAAAACAAAAAGAAAACAAAAACGTGGGCGCTAAACACTGAAATACACAAAGAAGGGAACAATAGACACTGGGGCCATCTTGAGGGTGGAGGATAGAAGGATGAGGATTGAAAAACTACCTATCAGGTACTATGTTCATTGCCTCAGTGACAAAATAATCTGTACAGCAGACCCTCACAACAGGCAATTTACCTATGTAACAAACCTCCACATGTACCCCCTGAACTTAAAAAGTTGGAAAGAAAAAAAAAAGAAGTCAGCTTGTATTTTGATGGGTAACACATTGAATCTATAGAAAAATGTAAGTATTAACCCATCTTAACAATATTGCTTTTCTATTTATGAATATGAGATATTTTTCTATTTGTTTTAAGTTTTCTTTAATTGTTTCAACCATGTCTTACAGTTTCTGAGAATAAATTTTATACTTATCTTGTTAAATTTAGACCTGGCTTTTTTATCATTTTGATGCTACTGTAAATTGAATTGTTTTTCAAATTAGATTTTTGAAATGTTCTTTGCTAGAGTATAGAAATCTAATATATTTTTATACAGTCGTCCTCACAATTTTGTATTTTGGATCCTGCATCCTGATTTCGTATATTTATTTTAATACTTTTTAGTGGTTTTCTTAGGATTTTCTTTATAAAAGATAGTGTCATCTGCAAAGAGAGATGGTTTTAATTCTTTCACTCCTATATGAATGCATTTTATTTCATGTTTTTGAATAATTTGCCTGGCTAGAACTTCCAATTTTATGTTGAATAGAAATTATAAAAATGGGCATCCCGGACTTCTTGGTTTTAAATAAAAAGCATTAAGTCTTTCTCCATTAAGTATAATGTCAGCTGTGGTTTTATTGTGCATACACATTATCAGGTTGAGGGAGTTTCCTTCTATTTTTAGTTTGTTGAGTGTTTTCATCATGAAGTAGTGTTGCGTTTCATTAATGTTCTTGTTTCCTTTTCTGTTTCTATTGAAATGACCACGTGTTTTTGCTCTTCAATCTATGACATTATGTAATATATTAATGGATTTCACATATTAAACTTTATATTCGCAGGAAAAATCCACCTTGGTTATCAAATATAACTTTTTTTATGTTACTGGATTAGGTTTGCTAGCATTTGGTTGAAGACACTGGGCTGCATTTTTCTTTTCTCGTGATGTGTTTTTCTTGCTTTGGTATCAGGCTAATAGTGGCTTTATACGTTCAGAAGTGTTCCCTATTTTTTGGAAGAATTTCTGAGTAATTGTTTTTAAATGTACGTGGGTGTGAATATACACAATTTGTAATGGACATATTTATAAATATACATATTTGGTAGTATTCACAAGTAAAGCTGTCTGTACCCAGATAATTCTTTGTGGGAAAGTTTTTACAACTAATTCAATTATTTACTTGTCCTAGGCTTATTAAGGGTTTTCTATTTTCTCTTGAGCCCATTTTGGTAGCTATGTCTTTCTAGAACTTGTCCATTTCATATGCATTTTGTAATTTGTTGGCATACAATTTTGCATCCTATTCTTTTTTATGTATTTCAATTTCTGTAAGATCAATAGAGATATACCATCATTCAATTTGGTTTTAGTAATTTGAGTCGTCGCTCTTTCTTGATCAGTCTAGATAAAGGCTTGTTAATTTTGTTGGTCTTTTCAAATAACCAACTTTTGGAGTCATTGTTTTTCTCTATTTTCCATTTCCTACTTAATTAATCTCTGTTAATATTACAAATTATTGTTAATATAGGCTTTATTATACATTTTGCTTGCTTTAAGTTTAGTTTGCTCTCTTTTATCAGTGCTTTCAGTGGTGATTTTCTTTTCTTTCTTTTTTTTTTTTTTTTTTGAGACAGAGTCTCACTCTCTTTCCCAGGCTGGGAAGGGCAGTGGTGTGATCCTGGCTCACTGCAACTTCCACCTCCTGCCTTCAAGTGATTCTCATGCCTCAGCCTACTGAGTAGCTGGGACTACAGGCATGCATCACCATGTCCAGCTAATTTTTGTATTTTTAGTAGAGACAAGGTTTTGCCACGTTGGCCAGGCTGGTCTCAAACTCCTGACCTGCCTCGGCCTCCCAAAGTGCTGGGATTACAGGCATGAGCCACCACGCCAGGCCTGTGATTTTCTTGATTTGAAATCTTTTCTTAAATTTTTAAAAACATAGTTATTTCCAGATGAAAATTTTCCCTTAAGAGCTGTCTTAGCTGTATCATGCAAATTATGGTATATTGTACTTTCATTTTTCTTTATCTCGAAATATATCCTAACTTCTAATTTGACTTCTTCTTTGACCCACTGGCTATTTAGGAGTGTTTGATTTAATTTCCAAATATTTGTGAGTTTCTCAACTGTCTTTCAGTTATTGATTTCTAATTATACTCCATTATGGTCATAGAACATACTTGCATTATTACAACTCTTTTTAAATTTATTGAAGTTTTGTTAAGACCTGTTAAATTGTCTAATCTGGTGAATGTCTATGGTGTCGAGTTGGTTTATAATATAGTAATTTGGTTTTTATTGGAATATAAGTGGCAATTTCTGAGACTAAGAAATAGAGGTAGAAAATGATAGAGTCCCACATTCTTCAAGTTCTAAAGTAATCATGCCATTTTTTGAGATCATTTGTTGTTATTAAGCTTTACCTTAGCATAAAAATAAACTATATACATATTTTCAGTTTCTACCTATTGGCCATATATCTGCCCTATGGAGCTCAAAGTTTTCTCTCTCCACTCATCTGTTCTCCAAATATTAGTATAAAATTTTCTGGATGTCTTAAATCTTTTTCTCTATTTCAGAGTTCTCTTTTTAACACCACTATTCTTCAAATCATAATTTCCCTACACCAGATGTTAGGTAGAAACAGTCAAGAATTAAAAAAATAGTTATGCACTGCTCAGGATAAGGTAGTTTTGTGAAAAAACAGATAAATATGGACAGATAACTTATAACGTTTACATTTTTACATTAAGATTTCCCCTGTATAATACATAACATATTTTGTGCCATGGGTTTGTTTAGGGTTAAGCTCAGCAATGGGAAAAAGATTTCTATTCAATAAATGGTGCTGGGAGAACTGGCTTTGAAACTAAACCTTTTTTTTTATACCATGTAAAAAAATTAACTCAAGTGAAATTAAAGACTTAAATGTAAAACCCAAAACTATAAAAATCCTGGAAGGCAAGGTAAGCAATACCATTCAGAACATAGGCATGGGCAAAGATTTCATGACGAAAATGCCAAAAGCAATTGCAAAGAAAGCAAAAATTGACAAATGGGATATAATTAAACTAACGTGCTTCTGCACAGCAAAAGAAACCATCAACAGAATAAACCAACAACATACAGAATGGGAGAAAGTTTTTGCAAACTATGTATCCAACAAAAGTCTAATATCCAGCATCTATAAGCTACTTAAACAAATTTACAAAAAAAAAAAAAACATAAAAACGTAGGCAAAGGATATGAACAGACACATTACAAAAGGAATGCGGCTAACAATCATATGAAAAAAGGTTCAACATTACTGATCATTAGAAAAATGCAAATCAAAACCACAATAAGATACCATCTCACAACAGTCAGAATGGCTATTATTAATAAGTCAGAAAACAATCAATGCTGGCAAGGTTGTAGAGACAAAGAAACGCTTATACACTGTTGGTGGGAGTGTAAATTAGTTCAACCATTGTGGAAGACAGCTTGGTGATTCTTCAAAGACCTAAAGACAGAAATACCATTCAACCCAGCAATCCCATTAATGAGTATATACCCAAAGGAATATAAATTTTTCTATTATGAAGACACATGCATGTGTATGTTCATTGCAGCACTATTCACAATAGCAAAGACATGAAATTAACCCAAATGCCCATCAGTGGTAGACTGGATAAAGAAAGTGTGGTATATATACACCATAAAATATTATGCAGCCATGTAAAAGAACAAGATCATGTCCTTTGCAGGGCCATTATCCTCAGCAAACTAATGTAGGAACAGAAAACCAAATACTGTATATTCTCACTTGTAAGTGGGAGCTAAATGCTGAGAACACATGGAAACATAGAGAGGAACAACAAACACTGGGACCTATTGGAGGGTCGAGGGTAGCAGGAGTGAGAGGATCAGGAAAAATAATGAATGGGTACTATTAATAGGCTTAATATCTGGGTGATGAAACGATCTGTATAACAAACTACTATGACACAACTTTACCTACGTAACAAACCTGCATTTGTACCCCTGAACTTAAAATAAAAGAGTTATGCTCAGTAATAAAGGCTACCATCCTCTCTTCTCCTAGAAAGAAAGGGAATTTTCTCTGGGGTATCCACAAAGATACTATTGAAGGGATAACAATCAGAAACTCTGATATGGATGAAACATAGGTCCACCACAGACGGATGCGCCTCCATTTCCTCGATAGGTCTAGATCATTCACAGAGGTGCCTCTATGCCTTCTTTTAATAATCACCAGAAATAACTTGTCTTTCCTTTGCTAACCTACATCATATTCCCCATTTAGAGTTTTGTTAATAAAGCTTGGTGTATTTTCAGGATATCTGGATATGCCTTCTAAAAACAGAAATCTCAAAAATACAATATCTATTGTTGTGCAGTTTATTTTCTTTCCCTTTTTCTGCCAAGATGCACATTTCTATTTACTAACCTATTGATAATGGATTTACCTTACTTGCGCCTTCCTAGAACGTTTTTTTTTCCCCTAAGAATTGTTCTTCTAACACATCTAGGAATTATCATTCTTTCTGATAAGAAAGATCATTCTTCAAACTCTTTCATACACTTTGCTACAGAGAAAAACAGCTTATATTTATTGCTTGTATGTTTTGTTATCTCATCAGAAAGGATATTGAAGCAGAAAATACTGGCCAAATTTATGGGTGTCAGATTAACTATACTCTTTTTTTCAATCTACCAGGACACTATGAGGGAAAGAATCATACCTTAATGTCCAGGTTATACCTGTTTGTATATCATCCACATTTTCTACTTTAATTTTCTTCCTGTCCCACCCCTATCCTGAATAATTATCAATGGTTCAAGGTCTATTAGGGTTTGTCATATTCATCTTATCCTTGGGACTTACTCAGATTTTAAATAGCCTCCAATAAATTTACTCATACATTTGCCTAAATATTTCAGGATGTGCATTTTATTAAATATCTCTCAGAACAGTTCTATATTCTCAATATTATAAAATCTTACATATTATGTCCCTCTCTTAAAGATACATAATTTACAGTATGCTAAAATTTTTAGAATTACTGCCATATTTACTTCTGTTTAGCTTGTTTATTAATTTGTTAAACAAATATTTATGTAGAACCATTTTGCCAGGCATATAAATAAAATTTTATCAAATACTTGCTTATTCAGCTTTTATATTCTCCTATGTTATTATAGTAATATTTGTATTATATGCTGAAGAGTTTTCAACATTAATGTTTACCTATCAATAAATATTTATGGAATCTTTACAATGTACCCATGGCATATTAGATAAAAGGATTATAAAATGTGCATTCTGCTTAAGAATTTCATACCATGTATTGGATAGCATGATATATGAATATTAAAGATAAATACAATAATAAAATGTAACACAGGTTCTGGCTCTACTAGGAGTCAGAGGGTGAGGATATGAAGAGGGTAGGAGCTGATCAGGTTCTTGAAGGCTGAGGGCAAGAGAATGGTATGAATATAAAAGTGTAATTAATAAACTTGAATTTAAAAATTTACAGGAAAAAATTCTAGAAGACTTTATTTACTAAATACCCTTCTACCTCATTGTCCAATTTTAGCCAGTCTTTTTATCTCAGATGTCAGTATATTCTGAACAACTGTTTCCCCATTTGTAAACAGAGTCTATAAGTAAAGACCTAACTATCTAGATAATAAAATGGATTAATTAGCTATTATTCCAAAATACAAAGTAGAATCACATTTTTTAAAGCTAGGGAAAGTAAACCTTTTGTTTATTTTAGACTACTAGTTGCTAGGGAATGTGGATTATTTTGCCAATTGCACATCATATTAATTTAAAAGGGGATATGGTAATTTTAGAGCACAGATATGTTCAGATATGACTTTGACCACGTGATCAAAATGAACACCACCAGTAGCAGGACGTGTTGATATCATATACTCTTTGATATAATATATGGAGATGGGCACGTCATTTCTGATTTTAATAATAAGGAAACGTCAGACAAATCCAAATTAAGAGATAGTCTATAAACTAATTGGCCAACATTCTTCAAAATACCAAGGTCATAAAAGATAAAGAAATACTGGGGATCTTAGAAGATGCTTATAAAACAAGACTGTTAATTACAATGTGGGATACTCCATATGTCACTGGACTAGAAAGAGGATATTAGTAGAGAAATAGGATATGAATAAGTCTTATCATAAATGCTTTTGTATGAGCATTAATTTTCTAGTTTTGATAATGTTATATGTTCATGTAAAATGTAATTATTTAAGGAAGTCAAGTAAATAACATATGAGAAATCTTTTATATTTGCAGTGCTGTTGCCAATGTGAAATTATTTCAAATGAAAAGTTAGAATATGAAAAAAATTAAAAATTAAATGTTGGTTCATTTTTTCTTTTACATATGTCCATTTTTCCTTAAACCAATTTGTAAGAAAAAATTCTTAAAGGCTTTATCATCTTATTAAAAAATGGTGTGGCAGACAGAATGATAGTGCCCCAAAGGTGTCTACATCCTGATCCCTGGAACCTAGAAATATGTTGCTCTACATGGCAAAAAAGAATTATGGATATGATCAAGTTTAAAGATCTTAAGATATGGAGATTATCCTGGATTATCTGGACAGACCAAATGTAATCACAAGACTCCTTAAAAGAGGGAAATAAAAGATCAGAAGCAGAAGAAATTGTGATGATGAAAGCAGAGGTCAGAGAGCAAAGGAGATTTAAAGAAGCTACACTACTAGTTTTGAAGCTAGCAGTCCACCAGGAATCTAGATAACTTCTAGAAGCTGGAAAAGGCAAAGAAATGCATTCTTTTGTAGAGCCTCCAGAAGGAATAGTCCTGATAACACCTTGATTTTAGACTCTCCTCTCCTCTCCATTTTCTGACAGGGTTCAATTCTGTCACCCAGGCTGGAGTGCAGTGGCACGATCATAGCTCACTGCATCCTCGATCTCCTGGGCTTAAGTGATCCTTCTGCCTCAGCCTCCTGAGTAGCTGGGATTACAGGTGTGCACCATGATGTCTGGCTAATGTTTATTTTTTGGAGATACACGATCTCCCTATATTGTCCAAGCTGGTCTCTAACTCCTGAACTCAAGCGATATTCTCACCTTGGCCTCCCAGAGTGTTGGGATTACAGGTGTGAGCCATCACACCTGGTCAGATTTTAGAACTTCTTACCTCCAGAAAGGCAAGACAGTAAATTTATGTTGCTTTACGCCGCTAAGTTTGTACTATTTTGTTACTACAGCAATAGAAATCTAATATAGAAGGAAATAAACTCAATTGGCTAGGACTCTTCATGCCACTGAATGTCAAACAATTTCTGTCCTCACTGCCTTTGTGTGTGCCTAATTTATGTCAGAATCTCACTGAAGAGGAACTTGGGTAAAATTTTGTGCCCATCTTCCCATCAGAGACTTTACTCAGCTTATATCAATATCATAATCACTACTGAAGTCTCAGAGGAGCCTCTAATATACCGTACTCCATCAACTGGGAGGTAAAAATGAAGCAAAAACAATATCTTTTTTTTAAGCAAATTGAGGACAGTATTGAAGACAAGACATTAATTCTATTGATATATGGGCCAGAACCTTTAAGTCCCAGAATTAGCCATGAAATCTTTGCATCAATTTATGGCATGTAAGAATCAAGAGATCTGAAATCTTGCTGGGCAGATACATTCCCAAGAAAATGGTATGGCTGAGCCAATATTTATCAATCGCAGAAAAAAAAAGTCCAGAAGCATACCAGTTTTACTTCTTTCACTAAATGGAAGAAGCATTCCCAAGAAACTCCCATCATCATTGTCATTGTCGTCATCACCAGTATAATCATCATTATAAAAATAACAGTAGAAACAACAGCAATAAAGTGATACCAAGGCAAAACAATATAAATTTAAATAGTATATGCATTATAAAATATTTGAAGTATAACTAGATCATGAGAATGATTCTTTTTCTGGACTTTATTCTTATACTACAGTCTTAGTCACACGTGTGTGTGTGTATATATTATATATATATATATATATAGTAGTGACTAAACCTTGCATATAGGAATATCTAAATGTTTTTATTGGTATGTCCCTCTCTATAAAAAAATCAAATCTTAAATATACATATACATGTTAATTTCTAAATCATATACATGTGCTACCAATGCATGTATACGATTTATAAATGTGTGTATAGCAAATATCACAGATATCAGTACTTAATTTTTTTCTGATTTCCCTATGAAAATGAATATAAACACATAGAATCCTCAACATAAAGATCTTCTTATACACCCATCAGGGTTCCTAGCAATACATGTAGAAGTCTACATATCTACACTAAGTTTTTAGCAAAATAACCCTTCCACTTTTGACAAGGGACCTTTTGTGTGCTCTCAGTATGTATCAATTATATGTCCCAAACAAGATCCCTACAAAGCAATTTTAGTATTTCTGAAGAGCAAGCCTCCATAGAAGACAGAAAAGATTGAGAAGGCAAATGAGCTTCTTTTCTTGTGTTGAGTGCCCAAACAGAAAAAAAAGTAAATGAGTGAATAATAAATAAATACACAAACAAATAAACAGATAGTTTAGCCTGCCACAAAAAGGGGGTCAAAATAGGAATTACAGTCTGATGAAATGAGATTTCTAAAATGGAGATTACTTTTTAAGAATAATTGTAGTTCATGGGTTCTTCTTGATTCCCTAGGTTTCAGAATAAAGTTTAATAGATGTGGACTGGCTGGTGAACTGATCTCTCTGAAAATCACAACTGCTGAAGAAGATCAGAATTTTTCTTTGCATCTACTTTCATATATTTAATTACTCTTCAGTTTGAATTGCATTTTCTTTTGCAGTAAATCTAAACAGTGGCTGCTGGGACATAGTCACACATATGATCATCTTTGCTGTGTAAAAATAAATGCTTAATTTAATAAATAATTCAATCATTCTTTCTCCGATATAAATTTCTGTTTTCATTTACCTTTATTTCTACTTTTCATCATATTTTATTGAACATTTAATTATGAGGCATATGCTTTCTAATACTGCAGGTATCAAAATCTAGGAAGATAAGCAAGTAAGCAAATAATTTCAACTGAATATAATCTGTACTTAAATAGAAAAAAATATATATAGGATTCAGGGCTGTAACATAGGAAGGAATAACTAGCTTCATATGGTAGGTTGAGGAAAAATTTCACAGTTTAGGAAATGCTTAAGGTGGATCTTGAAGGATGAGTAAGAGTTCAGCACATGTTCAGGTAAAAGGCACAAATAAGATGGTATAGAAGACATGGCATACCATGATATGGCTACATATGAAAAGAGGGAGTAAAAGCCACAGGAAGAATGAAGAAAGAGAGAAGAGAGCTAAACTTTCATAAAGTTTATAATTCTGTGTAGATATGGAGAGATTCTAGTGCAAAAGTGAAATTGCTTATGAACATACTTTTATCTTAGGAACACTGAACGCCAAGATCACAATATTCAGATAATAGGACAGGGAGTCCTTTCTCTATACACAAAATAATTCAGGCTAAAAGAAAAAAACAGTTGTTCTGATGTTTGAGCAAATTAACCTTGTGTATATTTGTTGGTCACTTGAGATGGGGAAAGGAGTTGGGACAACGAATGCTTATTGACATTTACAATTTACAAGAGAAGATATAAGAATACGTAGCCTAGGGACCCTGATGGTGTTACAGGTTTTGGTAGAGATTTTACATTATATATTATTAACTGAGGTATATAAATTACCTGTCTTACTTAGTCTATAGTCAAATTTTCAAGTTTACCTTTTCCAATTATTCTTCCTTTCTGCAATGTACATGAAAAAAAAAACCTGTTAAGATGAATCTTCTGATATTTTCCCTTTTCCTATGGTTGCTTTTGCGAGCAACATTTTGAGTATCACATGAAATTCACAACTTATAATTGCCACTGCTCTACACAACAGGCTGATTTCTTACCAAGTTATTCACTGTTCTAAGGAACTGGAGTAAAAAAGCATTCATTTCCTAATGATGGAGCATCTTCGACCTTAGCAAAGCTGCCTCAGAAAGATCTGGATCTTCTCAAAATGCTTCGACAGGACTCTTGAGCTAAATTTCTCAAAGATGTCATTATAAATTGCAGTATAACAGCAATTTATGCCCAATGACCAATTATCAGATGTCTGGCAGTTTGTTTTTTTATCAGTAGTGTTCAAAACACCAACTGATTCAACATTTTTAAAACGTTAGATAAAATTCAAAGCTTTCTCTAAAATAATTCCATATAGTTGCCTTTTAATTTACTTCATTGAGGCCAAGCACTGTGGCTCATGCCTGTAATCCCAACACTTTGGGAGGCTGAGGCAGGCAAATCACTTGCGGCTAGGAGTTCAAGACCAGCCTGGTCAACATGGTGAAACCCCATCTCTACTAAAAATACAAAAATTAGCCAGAAGAAGTTGTCCCAGCTTCTTGGCAGGCTGAGGCAGCAGAATCGCTCGAACCCAGAAGGTGGAGGTTGCAGTGAGGCAAGATCTAGCCACTCCAGCCTGGGTGACAGAGAAGACTCCATCTCAAAAATAAAAAATTAAAAAAAATTAAATTTAAAACAAATATAGTTTATTGAGAAAGAAATAGAGTGGGAATTGTGAGTCTAAGTGAGTCTGTGTGCCTGAAAGTGGATAATATTTAATGCATGACAGCAAGGGGGAAACTATCATAACTTCTAATAAAAAGTATGGAAAAGGCGATCATAAAATAAATTATGCACAACTTTTAAAGAGTATTTGTTTTGGAGCAGGCATGTATTTTGAAAGGCCTATGGAGACCAAATCAAGCTGTAAATAGTATTCTTACAACACTCCATGAGCTGAAGTTTCCTTTTTTTATTTTTTATTTTATTATTATTATTATTGAGATAGTCTCACTCTGTAACCCAGGCTGCAGTGCAGTAGCACAATCTCTGCTCACTGCAACCTCGGTCTCCCGGGTTCAAGTGATTCTCTTGCCTCAGCCTCCCGAGTAGCTGAGATTACAGGCACCTACCACCAAACCTGGCTAATTTTTGTATTTTTTATAGAGACGGGGTTTCGCTGTGTTGGCCAGGCTGGTCTTGAACTCCTGGCTTCGAGTGATCCACCTACCTTGGCATCCCAAACTGCTGTGATTACAGGCGTGAGTCACCGTGCCTGGCCTGAAGTTTTAAATGAAGTATTTTGCTATATTCTTCCACACATTAAAGCTTATCTGCATACCTAGTAATCATCAGTATTTTGTCTGATGACAATTAGACAATTAGTTATGTTTTTATGGCCAGTCTGGCATTTGATTGTAAGATTGTAATTTTACCAGAGAAAGGATGCACATATTTACATTCACTAAAGTAAGACACCATATAGGAAGGTATTTCCTTTTAAAAAAAAAATTTCAAAGGAGGATTACTAAAACAAATAGGATTTGTTTTATAAGATACTATAGCAAGAAAATTATATAACTGGAAATGGGAAAAGAAATAGACACCTCAATCTAATAAACACAAAGGCAATTTTCTTTTCCCAGAAGAGCTCAAATTATATTCTTGTCTCAACCTACTGTGGAGCACTTGTTTTCACATTTCTTGTACCTGTTCACAAGGCTCTGATCAAAATTCATTATGAGGTAGTCCTCAGATTTATCCTGTTTCCAGCATTTTCTTTAATAAAAGTTCCCTCAAAAATTAGCATTCATTATGTGCCATGCCTTATACTAAGTGTCTTCTACTCATTACTTTACCTAATTTTCATAAAATTCTGTGAGGTAGATGCTATGAAAATTTATTCCAGAGATGAAGACAGTAAAGCTAAGAAGAGTGAAATGTTTGATTAGTACATAATGAATTTTTTAAAAAGTCCTACATTCAGTTCAAAGTCATCGAATTTTCTTTAAAACTTTTTTTCTATGCTATTCCACCTAAAACATTTTTCACGTGTGTACCTATAAACACTGTCTAATCCTCAAAGCCCAATTTTAAGTAGGCGTTATCTTATCTTCCATAACCAAGTCAAACTGCATTACACATTCTTTTGAACTACAGCACTTTGGTTTTTTCTAAGTTTCTAGTGCATATTTTTGTTTCCTATATATATTTTATATATTCTAACTTAATATTAAGCTACTTGAGAGCAGAGGAGCCTCAGTGATCTTTTTGTCTCCACTTTTATTGATTTTGGCACAGAGAGTGTCCAATAAGACACTAAGTTTCTCTACCACTAATGGAACATTTAGCATTTCCTAATGTCTCATGGGGACTGATTGAAGACTAAGAACATTTACAGTTGGGCCCATCTTATGGGTCTGCCTCTGATATTATTTGCCCAGTCTAAATCCCCAGGGGTCATTGGGAAGCAATAGATAAACATTTTAACTGTAAAACGTAATTGAAAAAAATTTCCATTAAGCTGGTTTTCTTCAGTTTTCAAGGGGTTGATTTTGCCATGAATTTTCAGGTTGGTTTGTTTGTTTCTTCCTGAGCAATTAGGTACAAAATACAAGATGGAAGAAAAGGAAAAGGAGGGTGGAATGAAAAAAAGAAGAAAGGAAAAATAGAAAAAGAAAAAAAGTGATAAACAAAAAATAATCTCTTAGTTTTAAATTCATTAGTAATAGAATTTATGGCTTCTTAGACATTCAACCTTGCTCAATTAATTGTCTTATTGACTGCAATTCTCCAAACATACAGTTTAAAATGATTTAGAATTATGTACATCTGGAGGCCTCAACAAGAGCTCTAATTTGCATAAAGCTATGGCATATCAAGTCAGTGGACACACATTAGGAAGATGAGCTAATTCTTGTTTTCAGAAAAGGATGTGATTTTTCTTAAAGTATCAATATAATTTTTGGATAAGGAAAATGTGGTACATATACATCATGGAATACTATGCAGCCATAAGAAAGAAAGAGATCCATGTCTTTTGCAGGAACATGGAGGGAACTGGAGGCCATTATCCTCAGCAAACTAATGCAAGAACGGAAAACCATACTACATGTTCTCACTTAAAAGTGAGAGTTAAATGATGAGAACTAATAAAAACAAAGAAGGGAACAACAGACACGGGCCTTTTGAGAGTGGAGGATGGGAGGAGGGAGAAGAGCAGAAAAAATAGCTATTGGGTATTAGGCTTAGTACCTGGGTAATGAAATAATCTGTACAACAAACCCCCATTAGATGAGTTTACCTATGTAACAAACTTGCACAGCTACCCCTGAACCTAAAATAAAAATTAAAAAAAATGAAAACTTAAAAGAAAATCATAAGGAAGAGACAGTATATTTACCATTCATTAAGTGGAAGTGGATCATGATAAAGGTCTTCATCCTCACCATCCTTACGTAGAGTAGTCTGAAGAGGAGGAGAAAGAAGTGGGGTAGGTGTTGCTGTCTCAGGGGTGGCAGAGGCAGAAGAGGTAGAAAAGTAGAAAAGGTGGTAGGGGAGGCAAGAGAGTCAGGCACATTCCATGTAATCTTACAAAATTACAAAATTACCTAATTTCTGATTTTTTTTGCTTTTACATTTCACTAAAAATGTTGCTATATGGTACAAATCCTTCTTCTAATATTTGCTTTAATTTCTGTGTTTGTATCATAGAAGGATCCATGTTATAAAAGAAATCGAAAGCCGCCTTTAATAATCAAAATCCTTTTGACAGGTTGTCTAATGTTAATTTGTTTTCAAGCACTTCTATATCATTTTCCTCATTGTCTAGCACTGGTTCAGAGGCATTCATCTCCATCAAGTCATATTTTGTTAATACTGCTGATGTGATGTTTATTAGCTTTTAAACTTCTCCAAAATCCATATCTTAAAATGCTTCACCCGTCACCTTTCTGCCATATCCATAACCTTATTCATGGTTTCCTTGATTGGCTCTGAAGTAAATCCTGTGAAGTTATTTACAACATCGGGATACAGTTTTCTCCAGCAAAAATTTATTATTTCAGGCTTGATGACTTTCATAACTTCTTAATAATAACAATGGGGTCTTCAAAGGTGTAACCCTTTCAAACATTCAAGATGTTATCTCTATGGGGGTTCTCTTCCATAGTGTTGACAATTATTTCCATTGAATACTTTATATAATGAGACTTAAAGTTCCATATGACCCCCGATCTACAGGCTGAATTGCAAACTTTGTTTTAGGGGACAATTAGACCACTTTGATGCCTTCAGTGGTGAATTAATGGGGTTCAGGGACACTGTCCAATACCAAAAGAACTTTAAAAGGTCATTACTTATTGGTAACATACTCTCTGACTTCAGGGACAAAGCATGAATGGAACCAATTAAGAAAAAAAATGTTCTCCTTGTCCATGACTTCTTGTAATACAACCAAAAGTCTGGTAGTTGGTGTTTATCTTTACCCTTCAAGGCTCAGGGGTTAGATAAGGGCAGTCCTAATGACAAACCCAACTACATTTTCACAAATCTGTAGAGTTAGCCTACCCCTTATTGCCTTAAATCCTGGTCCTTCATTTCTCTTCCTTACTAATAAATGTCCTTCATGGCATTTTTTTTTTTTTTCCCCAGAGGACGGCACTTTTGTCTGCATTAATTCTTTCTCCTCAATAATTTTCTTAATGACATCTGGGAACTTGTTGGCTGCCTTTAGGTAGGCAGAAGCTGCTTCTCCTGTTACTTTTTTTTTTTTTAACCTTTAACTTTAGGTTCAGGAGCACATATACAGGTTTGTTACACAAGTAAATCGCATGTCAATGGGAGTTTGCTGTACAGACTTTTTCGTCGCTCGGGTAATAAGCATAGGCAAACCTCTTTCTAAAGTTATCAAACCATCCTTTGCTGGCATTAAATTCTCCAGCTTTAGATCCTTCACCATCCTTTTGCTTTAAGTTGTCACATAACTTCACACTCTTTCAAATCATATTAGGGTTTTCAGGTATGTCATTTGTATAGCAATCCTGCACCCACATAAATGCTGCATTTTCAATGCAACATAAAAATGTATTTCACAAAAAGTGCAAGGCTTTTTGTGTATACTCATGTTTTTCTTCCATATAATGTTTAACAAAAGCAAAACGCAAACAAAAAATGTAAAAATACAGTTGACCCTTGAACGTCGTGGTAGCAAGGGTGCTGACCCCTTGTGCTGTCGAAAATTCACTTATAACTTTTGATTTCCCAAAAACTTAACTATTATTACTAATAGCCTACTGTCAATCAGGAGCCCTCGCAATAACAAAAACAGTCAATTAATATATACTTGTATGTTGTATGTACTATATACCATATTCTTACAATAAAGTAGGAGCTAGAGAACAAAACAAAACAAAACAAAACAAACCTGCGGCTGTAGCTGCAAGCAAGGGCTTCACGAATTTCCTTTCTTTTTTAAAAAAAAAAAGATTCTAATGCTGGATTTATTTTTTATAAAATTTCAGGCAATCATAGCTATAGACCTCAATTGGTGGTATATATTAAGCAGTTGAACATTTTCGTGTATTCCCATGACTGTTTTATACTTCTTGGGAACACCTCCAGCACTTTGACACTTTGTAGGAGTCCTGTGGGTTATTCAAGGTTTGAGGTGTTGTACTAAACATTACAAAAAAAAATAAGAAATATGAAAGATCACTTTTTACTGCTATTTACAATTTACTGGAGAGGAATTGCTCCCAGGGAAATGATTAACACCTCACTGTGTTTTAAGCTGATACTCACAACACTTGAGCTCCCCGTACAAGCAACAGGAGGTGACTATAAAATTATTATAGTAGTACAGTGCTACTATAGTTAATATTATGCAGTTATGATTTAATATTGCATCCTTACATTTTTCTTGACTGCAAATAGCACCACATATAGTCTGTTTATGTACATAGTTTTGATAAATTCCAACTTTTTATGAGATTTATGTATATTTTTTGTAGTAAATGATAAAATATTCTAGCATTGACATATATTTTATGCATACCTTTTTCTTAATTTTTTGATATTTTAGGCTATGCAGTTTGTCTTCAAGTTTTTCCAAATTGTCATCAATCTCCAAAAAAGTTTCCAATATACTTATTTTTAAAAATCCACATATAAGTGGACCCATACAGTTCAAACCTGTGTTTTCAAGGGTCAACTATATTGTGAAAATATATTTCAGAAAATAAGAAAATCTTAAATGAATTTGGAGTAACGTGTTCAACTGGAACTGCATTGCTTGATACTTATTTTTGTAGATACAAATTCACATATTGTTTTAAGTAGAAATTACTATAAAATTACTATACTTCCCTCTGTTCAACACAAATTTCTGGACTTCAAAATGTCTTTTTAAATAAGCATTTCTTTATTTACAGCACACAGGATTAGACATTTAGCAAATAAAATACAGAACACCAAGTCAAATTTAAATTTCAAATAATCAACAGATAATATTTTAGGGTAAATATGTCTCAAAGGAACATCTAACTAGGCGTTCTTTACTTTACCTGATAACCATACACATAAGTATTCTGCTAGGTACTAGGGATAAAAGGCAGAACAAGATAGACACGATCTCTGTCTTTATAAACTATATATTCAGAAGTGGCTTGAAAAAAATACAAAGACAATAATAAATATTTATAGATATTTTTTAAATGAAAGAGGTTCTGTATACCCCATCTTAAGGATTCCATCATGGTTGATTGAAATAGACATGGTTATGTGATCCTCTGCAACCAACAAAGCCTCTAGGTTTTGTCTCCTATTTTGATATTTGACAATTAGGTTAAAATATCAGTGTTTCTACAGAGCTTCTTCACACCTCTCACAGTCTAGTTCCAAAAAGGGGATTGATCCCTACAGCTGATTTTGGAATAGGTGAGCCGTTATTATTATACATATTCTCCCACTTTAACATAATTCCTATATAGAAGTTACTATATATGTTTTGTGATGGAGCTGTCAGTGAAGTTTGAAATAGGGATTAAATATTAAGATGAGTTTTAAAAGTTTAATTAGGTCACTTATTTGAAGAAGGTGTTTAAATATTCCACACCAGCAGCCATAAGTATATGCTAAATGAAAATAAATTCAAATGAGAAAGAAACTAAATAAATGTCTTGTTTAGATATACTATTCTCAAGCTATTATGGAAATTAACTTTTTATTGACTAAGAAAAAAATCAGTAAGCATTAATGCACAAATCTCATTCAGAATTGGAGTTATATCTGGAATATACTCTCAAAACCACAAATATAGGGAGAGCTCAATGCTCCCTCTGCTAACAGTGTTTGTAATTATGTCTCAATTTCAACAGAAGTAATTCTCATATAATCTCAAGAGAAAAATGCCTTCAATGGCAATTTTTAGACTTCCTTTTTGCCATCTTGCTTAGATTTCTAAATCATAGTTACAAAAAGCTTTTTTAATTTTTTTAAGTCATCACACATTTGATCTCTTGGCAGTTTGTCTGCAATTCAGTATGCTGGTGCCAGACTTCTCAAAAATTTCAGGGCTAGACAATGTAAATTATCATCTAGGAATTTTGCCACTGACTTGATGGCATGAGGAAGGAGATGAGAAATTAGAGATACATAGTAGATACAATTGAGTTGATGCTTTTTAATTACCCTTTATCTTTGCTGGGTAATGCATTCTGTATTTCAATCATCTTGAGTGCAATGACTTTTATGTGGTATACTGTAGATGGATAAATATGAAACCCAAAGCACCCTGTTTATTTGATACCCTGATTGTTGAAAATGTATTTGTAGATCAAGCAGTTTGTTTATTCCCATTTTCTTCATGATAAAGGAGGTATAGAACCGGGCCAGAGCAATATAGTTGATAAACTAGAAATTTTTTAAGATTAAAAATAATATTAGAAATCAACTTCTCCCTTCCTTGTCTTGCCTATTTACCTTCTCCAAATACTAAAGAAAAAATTAAGGAGAAAAAAATAGAAAAAGAAATTAGAGAGTAGTTTAAAAGGCCCAGCTGTGTACACAGGCATTTAGCTAGTAAGCATTAGAAAATGCATGGAGATGAGCCGAGTGGAAGGGAATACAAAAGCCAGGAAGAAAAATGTAAAGAAAATTGATAAGACAGAAAGAGGAGTTTGGTAGATGCAAACTTTAATTTTAATTTGAATATTATTAATTAATTAAAACCAATGATAGCATGAAGGTACTTTCAAAGATAGTGTATTTTATTTTCACAAAAGAAAAGTGATTTCACTGAACTGTGTGGAAAAAGGAGACATTTTGAATAAAAGGAATTTCTAAGAATAGAATGCTGTTTGAACTGCAGATGAGAATGTACAATACATTTTGACATATCTTATACCAGCCTTCAGTTTAATAGTATTTCATGCACACATTTCCCTTTTTCTGGAAACATATTAGAATATACTTATATTTTCCATTATTCCTTCCATTTTCTTTATTTTTCTGCAAAACACTTTTTATGCTTGGATCAGGTTGTATTCATAGATATGCATTTATAGCAAGCTGTGAGCATTATCCTGAATATATGTTCTCTGCAAGATGCCAAGCTATCAGGTTCTCCTAAAACTAGCTATGTTGGATTTATTGGAATAAAATAGAAAACAAAAATATAAAGAGACTATTTATATGCAATGGCCAAAATATCTGTGGTTCAAATATATATATATATATATATATATACACACATATATACATATATACACATACAGGCATATGCATATATGAATATTATATATATTTACAGATATTATATACACGTATACATAAATAGGCAGATTTATTTACTATTAAGAAAATTTTTAAGAAAGGTTACAACAGCAGTGATAGGTAATAATGGCTACATGCCAGGCCATGTGTCTTTTGCTGTATGCACATCATTTCATTTAGTTCTTTCAAAAACCTTATGAGTTGGACATTACTAATAATCCTCTGTAAAGATGAAGAAACCAATACTTACATAGGTTAAGTAGATTTTCTACAGTTCCACAGCTAGGCAGGGTCAGAGAAAATATTTGCTTTAAAAAGATTTGAAGCAAGGGGAGTATATATCCTTGCCACAATAAAGAAAAACAAATGAAAAGTAGGTGATAGAGGACATATGAGATATTAAATTGATAGAAAGAGATACTAGAATTGATCTTAGCCAAATGGTCAAAGCAATAAAATCCTGTCATTTGCAGCAACATGAATGAAATTGGAGGTCAATATGTTTAGTAAAATAAGCCAGGCACAGAAAGACAAATATCACATGTTCTCACTCATATGTGGGAGCTAAAAAAAAGTAGATCTCAGGGAGACAGAGAGTAGAATGGTGGTCACCAGAGTCTGGGAAAGGAAGGGAGGAGAGGTGATGAAGAGAACATGGCTAAGGAGTACAAAAAAAACAGTTAGATAGAAAAACCAAGTTCCAGTATTTGACAGTACAGTAGAAAAATCATTGTTAACGATAACGTACCCTATTTGCAAAATATCTAGAAGAGAAGAATTATACACACAGATTAAAAATGTGTTTGAGGTGATAAATATTCCAATTACCCTTATTGGATCATTACATATTGTATACATGTATTAAAATATCATCTGTACACCAAAAATATGTACAACCATTTTCAATAAAATTGTTTAAAAAGAAAAGTTAACACTTAATTTTATTCAGACTATGTAGATACTGCTTAACTCTATTCTAAAACTGACTATTGTGAACAATCTGAGATAAACATGATTACCTACATCTCTCAGTTATGTGTATGGCACTTTGGGAAGCCAACTTTGGGAAAGGAGAGTTGGCTAGAGTTCCAGTGTGTTTATTTCCTTAATGTCCAAAAACCTCACTAAAATATTGTTACGGGTAGATTCGTTTTCAAACCACTATGCTTTTAGGAAGATATGTTAGATTCCTCATTATCTCAGAATGTGGCCTTATTTGCAGATAAGTTCTTCATAGAGGTAGTTGAGTTAAAATGAAGTGATGGTGATCAGGACATACTACCTGCAATATAGCACCTTAACATACTGGATATTTTAAGATGAAGAATTTGAGACATGGCATATGCAGAAAATATTTTTTGACCTTACCCTGAAGCAGGTCATAAAATCTATTAATAGGAAGGACTTTCTGTCCTTACCCTAAAGCTGTCAGTACAAGAAGACCCTCACTACAGAAGTGACCCCCTTAGACCTAGAGAAAAAGAGTATACTTGCTCCTGAAGATGAAGGGACAGAGGAGTCTGAAAAAAGGTCTCGCTAAATTTCCCCAATATATTAGCCTTAGCTCACATTCTTTGCCTTATTTTATTTATTTCCATTTGTATCAAGCCTACAATAAAAACACTCAGGTTTAACTGCTTCTTTGGGTCTACATTGCTTATTAAGTCTACCATGTCACATAAAGATTAAATCCAATAAATTTGCATGCTTTTCTCATGTTGGTCTGTCTTTTGTCACAGGGCCCTAGACAATGAACCTAAGACAGAAAGGAAAATGAACCTAAGATTGTAGAAGGAAAAAAATATATATTTATTTTCTTTTTTTTTCCCCCAACATGGAGTCTCACTCTGTTGCCCAGGCTGGAGTGCAATGGCACAATCTCGGCTCACTGCAACCTCTGCCTCCTGGGTTCAAATGATTCTCCCACCTCAGCCTCCTGAGTAGCTGGGGCTACAGGTGTACACCACCACACCAGTCTAATTTTTGTATTTTTTATAGAGACAGAGTTTCACCATGTTGGCCAGGCTAGTCTCAAACTCCTGGCCTCAAGTGATCTACCCACCTGGGCCTCCCAAAGTGCTGGGATTACAGTTGTGAGCCCCACGCCCTGCCAGAAAAAATATTTTTCTTCCCCTAGAGGTCATTGTGGGGGCGGGGCGGGGGTTCTTCATGCAACATGACTGGCATTCTGGTAGAAAGAGGGAATGTGGAAACCGATGCACACGTGCATGTAGGGAACCCAATGTGAAGACACACAGGGAATACCACCATCTACAAGCCAAAGGGAAAGACCTAGTACAGATCCTTCCCTGAAAGCCCTTAGAAGGAACTAACCCTGCTGACAACTTATCTCAAACTGGTAGCCGTCAGGAGAAAAGGCATTTCCATGGTTTAAACTACTCAGTTTTTGGTCTTTGTTACTGGTAGTCTTAGCAAATGAATGCAAATGCAACTTAAAAGTGATGACTTTGTATAATTTTTATAGGAGATCATGTCTCCTATAGATATATAGCAGGTTTGTCTTTATTTCATAGTCAAATTTTCAATTTAATTTAGAAGTTCCTTTGGGGTTATTATCTTCCAATATGATTCCATATGCCTTGATCTTCCTCAAATTATTCAAAAGATTTGATGTACCAATTAATACTTGGGTTTCAACAGTCTGATAAGTTAATCTTTACATTAGCATGGTATAAAAATTTAAGGAGCACTTTAACATGTAATGCTGGCAAAACTTCGTAGGCTTGATCCCTAAATGGTCAATATTCTAATCCTTCTCTGAGAATCTTAGTAAGAAGTTCCTACTAAATGGTGAGATTAATAGTGTAGCTGGAATATGGTCCCATTTGCCTCAGGGAAACCTTCAATAGATGATATTTTGAGAACTCTAAAAATGGCAGAGATCTTATAAAACATTTTGTGTCACTCTCTTAATAAATGCATGGTTAAATATGACCTATTTATTTAACTAGGAATAAATTGAAAGAACAAAGTTGAAGCATGCACACTTATTTGACACTTGAACTGAACATTTCTAAGGTGATTCAGCCAGATATTGCTCTGATATAAACATTCAATGCCTTCACATTTTCTCTATTTACTTTTTTCTCTAAAACAATTTTACATTGCTCTTCCCTGTCTAGCTACTCAAAAGTTCATCTAACACATTTATTTTTCTTTCTTAAACATAAATTATGTTTAAAGGATTTGGGAATAAAAGGATAAGTGAAATGATCACTAAGTGCAAACTCCTCAAGAAATGGAGTGTGTTCTCTTAAAATAATTTCCTGTAGATACCACCAATTTGCAAGCACATCAAAGATAAGAAAGTTATGCTTTCTGTGTGTGAGATGCATACAGGTACCAATAGTCTTTTTAGTTAATAATAATGCCTTATATTTTATAATTAGCTTTTATCACTTGTTACATTTAAAACTTTTATCCTTTAATAATAACACTTAAATCATATTGGAATTACAAAATATGAAATCATTTCTGATTTTCTCTCTCAGTTGCTTTTCCTTTCTGTGACTTAGTTTCTTCAGCACAATGACCAAAATGTATACCAGATTGTTCTTTGTAATTGTATCAGGTTAAAGTCTAAAAGTCTTACAAATTTTTAATAGATACATACAATATTTACAAATATGTCATATGCCATTTAACCTACCCAAAGTTTAAAAGCTCATAAGTTTTAAAATCCTATAACTAGCACTGTGACAAAAGAATTTAATATATATATAAATCTGTTTTAAAGTTTTCTTTAATCATGTTCACTCTGTCTCAATGCAAAAGAATTATACCATTTTGGAGATGTATTTTTCTTATAAATAATGATAATATTTGCCATGGTTTGTATGTCTGACTTTTAAAAATATGCTTATTTAACATTACTTTGATAGTTGCTTGAAGGGAAAAATAATAGCTCATAGTATTCTTTAGATGATAAGACTTTGATCAGTTTCTTTCTTGTTAGTCTAAGTGGTTGCATTTGGTCCCCAGAAAAATTTTCATGCATATCAGATAACCAGACAGTTTTTCTACCCATTAAGATATTGTGTTTTTCCTTCCTTAACTTAATTTCTTGTAACAAGGCTATTTTTCAGTGTATTGAATTTTTTTATATCATGGAGAAATACATGCTCTATTACTTCTTTACAAAGTCATTTGCATATAAATGAGCTCCCCCTCCTATCTCTGTCTATTGTCTTCATTCTGCAGACATTTGCATATTTGAACGAGTCTTTCAGACCACAGATTCAGTTCAAGCACGAAAAGTATTTGCAATACTGCATTTTGGGAAATGGCAATGCCATGCTACAACTTATTTACCGAGTTCCTATTCTTCACTGTCAGAGACTACACTTACTAAGAACAAAAAAAATCAAAATTGAAGAAATAAAATAGATTCAGAACATGAGAATAAGGAGGGTCTCAAGAGCTTGAACCACAGACATGTATCTTCTGTCTTTATTATTAACTAATATGCTGGGAGTTCGAAAAATTCTATTTGATTCTCTACTTTGTAATCAAATTAATTGAATAATAGTTCAGCCTCTTACTTTTCTTAACTAGTACAGATGCAACAAAGTTCAACTTTCCCAAAGTCACCAATTACATTTTCAGGTACTTGTAGTGTGCTTTTATTTTGATTGCCATGTGATTCTAACTACCCTATGCTGAATATTCATTACCAAAAAAAAAAAACTCAGGCAGGACGCCATGGCTCACGCCTGTAATCCCAGCACTTTGGGAGGCCGAGGTGGGCGGATCACCTGAGGTCAGGAGTTTGAGACTAGCCTGGTCAACATGGTGAAACCCCATCTCTACTAAAAAAAACAAAAATTAGCCAGGCATGGTGGCAGGCGCCTATACTCCCAGCTACTCGGGAGGCTGAGGTATGAGAATTGCTTGCTCCCGGGAGATGGAGGTTGCAGTGAACTGAAATCATGCCACTGCACTCCAGCCTGGGTGATAGAGTGAGACTCTGTTTAGTAACAAATAAATAAATGAAATAAATAAATAAACTCAGCTAACAGTTTACTATTAAAAATTCTATTTATTCAATTATTTTACTTTTATTCATCTACATATACATAATTATTTTAATTATGATATAGTTTCTGGTTTAAAATTTTTTGTCTTATATATATTTTTAAATTAAAAGATTAAAAGATACAAATTCTAAGATGTAAAAAAAATACAAAGAACTTGAAAGGAGTTAAAGCTTTACCCTTTGCCCTCAGGCCCCATCCTGTTTCCCGACTATTGATAATTTAGAGATCATGATGGTTAACACTGAGTGTCAACTTGATTGGACTGAAGAATGCAAAGTATTGTTCCTGAGTGTGTCTGTGAGGGTGTTGTCAAAGGAGATTAACATTTGAGTCAGTTGACTGGGAGAGGCAGACCCACCCTCAAGCTGGGTGGGCACCATCTGATCAGCTGCCAGCAGGGCTGGAATAAAAGCAGGCAGAAGAATGTGGAACAATTAGACTGGCTAAATCTTCTGGCCAACATTATTCTCCCATGCTGGATGCTTCCTGCCCTTGAACATTGTACTCCAAGTTCTTCATCTTTTGGACTCTTGGACCTATGTCAGTGGTTTGCCAGGGGCTCTCAGGTCTTTGGCCATACACTAAAGGCTGCACTGTCAGCTTCCCTACTTTTGAGGTTTTGGGACAGGGACTGGCTTCCTTTTTCCTCAGCTTGCAAATGGCCTATTGTGGGAGTTTACCTTATTATACTCCTTAATAAACTCTCCTTTATATATACATCTATCCTATTAGTTCTGTCCCTCTAGAGAACCCTGACTAATACAGGGATATATTCACAAAGTCAATATTCCTGCCGAAGAAATAACAACCAAATTATGTTGTCATTTGTAAAGAGGTCACATTTTCCTCATTATAGGACCCAACCCAAAATTGGCACAAATAACAACATGGACACATATACACAGGCACAAATACACAAACACACACACACAAACACACAGAAACACACACAGAAACAAGCCTCTCATCCGGACAGTGCTCTCATTTTGCCTCTAGCCCTCATCAGCCATGGTCAAAAATAATTTTAAAAAATATTATCTTGACTAGCTCTTAAATTTACCCAAAGACTTATTTATTTAGATAATCCACAATATTCTTTATAAACATGCAAAAAAATATTTTCCGCATCTTCTAAGTTGGGTTGAATACACACTTTTTGGTATAGGCTGTTCTCCTTTGGTGTGCTCTATCCATTATTTCCTTCAGAAGTGACAATAACTTCGCTTCTATGAAATTAATGTTCTGATATTTTCTTCTAGCCATTGCCTTCTCAAGGCTTCTAAAGTATTCCTTGATCACACTAGTGATTAAAATGATGCCACTCCTCTAGGTTACTGTTTATCTATGAGTGTGTGCAGTCTGCACACGGAGTGAAATAGAGGAAAGAGATGGTTGATAAAGATAGTTTTTCCTCAAATGTCAGGAGGTTTGACTTGTATTTCTTTCCCATTACCTTGAAAATAAAATATGATTTGGAGAATATTGAGTTAACTTTCTACCTTTCAAAGAAATAAGGGGATTATAAACCTTCCTATATTTGCTGGAAAATCATTTGACATTGTATAAAAGGTGACAATCATATATTTTGAAAAAGTACTATCTCTTCTGGCATTATAGCCCAATAAAATAAATTCAAAGACTCGTGAACAAAGATGTTCTTTGCTACATTGTTTGCCATCCATATGACCATCGGTTGATCCTGCTTAGATAAATTGTGTTATATCTTATGAAAGATTCAGTCAATATCATAGCGTTTATTGAGAAATGCAATAACAGAAATATTTACCTTCCAAACTGGGCTAAGCCAAGTTTGTCTTAAACAACTGTTAAGTTATTTTGCCACTTTTAGTAGCCTCCAGTAGCTTTTGGAAAGGGTCGGCTGCTCCTCCAGAATCATCCTATTAAAAATTTTAATGAAAGCAAATCTCTGGCCCTTTTCTGCCACACATGCTGACTTGTTTTTGTTTGTTCTTGCTGTTGTTTTTTGAGTCAGAGTCTCCAGGTCTCAAACTCCTGACCTCAAGTGATCCACCTGCCTTGACCTCCCAAAGTGCTAGGGATTACAGCCATGAGCCACCACACCCAACCTGCTGACTTTTATTTTAAGCATGCATTTATTAAGAGAGTGACACAAAATGTTTTATAAGATCTCTGCCATTTTTAGAGTTCTCAAAATATCATCTATTGAAGGTTTCCCTGAGGCAAACGGGACCATATTCCAGCTACACTATTAATCTCACCATTTAGTAGGAACTTCTTACTAAGATTCTCAGAGAAGGATTAGAATATTGACCATTTAGGGATCAAGCCTACGAAGTTTTACCAGCATTACATGTTAAAGTGCTCCTTAAATTTTTATACCATGCTAATGTAAAGATGAAGAAATAGCTCTACAATATCCTACATAGTTCATTTGTCATTAATACCATTTCTAACATGTTTTTTGCCAATTAACTAATTTTACCAATAAAAACTCAGTTCTTTAATAAATTATACAAAGCCTCTGGTGCAGATGGGGCATAGAGACAGCTAACTTACTCACTGTACCAGCCTCTGTAATGTGGAATTTCTGATACATGCTAGTTGAACACTCCTGGAGTATAAATTTCTGATTGTGAGACTAGAAGGTCCTGGAGCACAGCTTACACAATATAATACATTATGAAGTGTTCTAAAATTAGTTGCAGACATCAAAATATATGTAACACTGCATTTAAAAACTTAATGAAAATCATATATATGCTATAATTTGACACTAAAAATACACCAAAATGCGAACGTTAGATGAGTTTTATTTTCTACCTTATAGATATGTATTATTTTTTGAAATCCCTTAAAATACTATAGAATAAATAGAGAAACAAGAAATTATATTACTTAAACCCAAAAGGCATAGATTAAGGGAAGAAGATCTTATGAACTGTGTTCTAGGCAACAGGAAGCCTCCATCATGATCCTTCAAATATGTACTTAGGGGTCCACTAAGTCAGGATCATTGCATTAACTATGCCTTCAGGACAGGCACCATGGTTAATGTCTGTAATCCCAGTACTTTAGGAGGCCGAGGCGGGCAGATCACTTGAAGCCAGGAGTTCTAGACCAGCCTGGGCAACATGGTGAAACACCGTCTCTACTAAAAGGTACAAAAAGTAGCTGGGCATGGTGGTATTCACCTGTAATCCCAGCTACTTGGGAGACTGAGGCAGAAGAAATCGCTTGAACCTGGGAGGCAGAGGCTGCAGTAAGCTGAGATCACACTACTGCACTCCAGCCTGGGCATCAGAGTGAGACTCCGTCCCAAAAAAAGAAAAATTAATCAAACTATGCCTTCAATTTGTAAATAGACGACTCTCAGCCTTTCTTGTAAAGTATTTTTATTTGATTCTTTGATTGTTTCTTTCTTTAAAGGAGAATAGTTGGACTACAAATCCAAACATAAATTAAAAATAAGAGGCTTAATTCTCCCCATTGAAAATAAAGGAAGGGGTTTCCCTGTTTTTCTTTTTCTTAGAAAACTTGTAATTTTCTTTAGAAAACGTGTACTTTTAAGTTTTTTATCTGTCTCTCTGAAATGTATGTAAATCCTCCTAAAAGCTACATATGACTTTTGCCAGCCTTAGGATGCAGGAATGTCTTTCTCAAGGACCTGGGAATCATTTTTTTGCAATGTAAACAGCCAAGCATATAGTGCCACTATTTCCTTGTTTCTTTGTGAGGATAGGAGCCTACCTTTGGTTGGTTTCTGGCTCCAATTGGCAAAACTACCTTCTTTCAAAAAGATTTGAGCAATTTACTTTTCCTTTGTATAAAGCCAATTAACAAACACAAATGATCACCCCAATTGCCAAGTGAATTTAGGATAAACTATGTGTGACAAATGGTGTCAAGTCCTCTTACTTGAGGACTACTTACTGTTTACCTTGAGAACATGTGTATAATGAATTTTATCTGCTTGGCTGTATAAAAAGGTAAAAAGATTCTTTCTGCCTTTGCAATCTTTTAGCAGACTTCTTGTGATGCACATTATGTTCTTGTTTAATACCGCGTCAGCAGTAAGATTGTATTCTTTCTCTTTTACCCTTATGGAGATGTTCTGGGTAAGGAGGAGATTTTGTTTTTAATTATCTTTCCCCAACTACACATACCTTCAAAATGCTTTTTTAAATACGTTTTTAAATCTATCACTTATTTTATAACAATCATTTCTTCTAAAGAAATCATCAGTCATAGACATATTTGTTCCCAAATCTGCATTTTTTCTTATTTTTGAAAAGTTTTTTTTTTTTTTTTTTAACCTGTATGTGTGTGTCTGCGTATTTATAAGATTTAAAAAGTTCGGGCTGCACGCGGTGGCTCACGCCTGTAATCCCAGCACTTTGGGAGGCCCAGGTGGGCAGATCACGAGGTCAGGCATTTAAGACCAGCCTGGCTAACATAGTGAAACCCCCTCTCCGACTAAAATACAAAAAAATTAGCCGGGTGTGATGGCGGGCGCTTGTAAACCGAGCTACTCCGGAGGCTGAGGCAGGAGAATGGCTTGAAGCTAGGAGACAGAGGTTGCAGTGAGCCTAAATCACGCCACGGCACTCCGGCCCGGGCTACAGTGCGAGACTCCGTCACACACACACACACGCAAAAGTTTGAAATGCAAAATATAAAAGAATAGAAAGAAGAACATAAAAGCAGTTAAGCTCTACCCTTCTATACTTCACATTCAGCATCTCTACTTCTGAGATAAACAAGGCACCCAATTGGCATTTCTTTTCACACCTTTTTCCATGTAGATTTATAATTTCCATATATAATTCCATATAAAAACATCTTTGCCAGCTATGTAGTACTAGGTTAAGTACAGATGATTTTGGAGTGCCTTAAGTGTAAGATGTAATTTGATAGGATAAATTTCCAAGGTTCTTCCTCTTTATTCCCAGGTATGGGGCTTTTAATAATGTCAAAGAAAAATTGCACCAAATGAAGTTAAACAGGAAGAAAGACTTTAATCAAGACTACTGTAATAGGGGTTACGTCTAGTACAACAGGGGAGAAGATTAAATTCAACTCTGTTGAAACAAAAGGCCAGAGAGTTTATAAACACTCAGATGAGTTGATGGAAAAGTCTGGGAGGACATTAAGGGAGAGGCTGGTACATGTAATTAGCCCACGTGTATTTTCTACTTGACATTTAACAAAGGCTTCTATCTGCTCACAGAGACTGGTATACAGGGACCCTCTCTTTCTTGATTATTACATTTCAAATAAATTGCTCCCAGGTTCTTGAGAAAGAAATTTCTGTGTTGTAAAACTGGCAAGAGGTTGGGAGAAGATTTACATCTCAAAGGGGTAGAGAAATAACTTAAATTGCAAGTTTTCTAAAGTAAATGCTCTAAGAAAAGAGAGATTAGGTGCCAATAGTTGGGAAGGAACATACCTGTTGTTTATTCAGGTTGAGGGGAATATTAAGGCCATCCAGGTTAAAAGTTAATAACCTGGTTAGAGCTGTGAAATGACCTGGTAGAAAAATATAAAATTCCAACAGGAATCAGGTGGCAAGTTTAGGTATGTGCTTAGCCCTTTTCAAAACAATCAACAGATAGTTGCTTAGGATGAGATATCAAGGAAATTCTGTATGTGGGAAGCTTCTGCTGAAATAAATGCAGTAATATATATACTAAGCTAGGCCCTGACATATTCTATTCCACATAACCATTTTAAATAGCTGAACACTTAATTTCTCTATGTGATCAGTTTCACCATCTTATTGACTGTAAATAGAAACCAATTACATTTTTTTCTAGCCATCATTTCAGGAACTATAACAAAACTGAAATGTCAATAAATATTGATACATCTTAGCTCAGCACAGTCCAATGATCTCATAACTTCCACTTCTTTTTGACAGTTTTTCACAGATCTAGTTTAACTCTGCTGTATATTTTCCAGTCTCCTCCAACCTTTAACCATATCTCTTCCTAATTAATTTAAATATCAATAACTTACCCCATCTACTGACAATTTCATAAACTTATACAATGTTTAGAACATTTCTACCTTTTGTAGATACGTATAATTGTTTTTAACATTGATTTGAAAATAAAAATTAGTAATCATACATGTATACCATTTATCCCATAAATATCACCTGTTCATGGTCGATTGCATAAATGGCACAGGCTATAAGGGTACATTATGTCTTCAAATACTGTAGTAAATTGTAATGAGGATAATACTTTTCCTTTTAACTTCTTTGTTTTGCTCTGTTTGTACAATACACAGAAAATTGCTCAGCTTGTGGTCTACAGCCAGCAATTAACACCACTTAGCAGCTGTTAAAATGGGTAATCGCCTGTTGTTACCTTCATGTGGCTTAATTCAAATGCTAATTGCTCTCTGAGCACTGATCATAAACCTATCACATCCAGTATAATCACAGACACATTGAAGTAAAATAACTACTACTTTTTCATGGTGGGGGGGAGGATGGTCAGAGTGGGAAAAAGAAATGTTCAAGAGATTTTAAAATTTGAACCATGATAAAATGCAATGGGGCAAATTTCAAAGGGATTTAGTATTCATGCGGTGCTATAGTTCCATCATGTAGAACTGTGTTGTCCATTATGGTAGCCATTTGTCATACATGGCTATTGAACACATAAAATAAACCTAGCCCAAATAATTTAAATGTACTGTAAATGTAAAATATACACCATATTTCAAAGACATATTACTAAGAAAATAATGTGAAATATCTCATTGATAACTTTTATATTGATTGCATGTTGAAATAATATTTTGGATATACTAGGTAAAATAAAAGATAGTATTAAAATTAATTTCAACTATTTTATTTTTTTAATGTGGCTACTAAAAACTTAAAAATTATATGACATACATTATACTTCTAGTACCTAGAACTGAACTAGTGGATGGACAAATTCCTAAAGTGCCTGGAAGGAATAGAAACAGCCCTCTTACCTTTTCATTTATATAACTTCTGCTTTGTTTAGGCAAGCATAAAACATGAGAATTAATAAGTTCATGTACCCCAATTAATGACTTTAGAAAATTGACATATTGTCTTTTCAAAACTTAACTCTAACTTTTAAAAAATATGCTAAAATGTAATTCCCAAAGCCAATCCAACTTTTAAAATGTAAAGACAAAATGAAATGGAAATGTCACTGGGAGAAGTAAAGCAGGCTCCAATTAATCAATTATTGAATAAATGGAA
The DNA here is from genome assembly GCF_000001405.40 of Homo sapiens. Taxonomy (NCBI): domain Eukaryota; kingdom Metazoa; phylum Chordata; class Mammalia; order Primates; family Hominidae; genus Homo; species Homo sapiens. The sequence goes on from NC_000011.10 coordinate 97,857,745, forward strand.
GGAAACAACATGCATTTTTAAAGTTAGTTTTAATAAAATACATTTGATTGTGTGCACTTTGGAGCCTTCACCAGGCAGCGGGAAGCAACAGTTCCATCTGTGTGCAATTTCAGATGAATGCAATTTCTACCCCACCCGCTTTGGCTCCATGGCTAATGAGAAAATGGAATGTGTTTGGTCTAAATAGCCTTGTTTGAATATAACACTATTGATTTCCTTATGACTCAGTCTCATTTTAGTGTCTTGAGAGACAAGAGGACTCATTGGATGAGACAAAAAATTGAGGTCCTGACCATTTGTGGTCATTAAGCAACCCAGGGCACATTTTGCTAGAGAGCAGGATGGTGAGCTTTAACTTTGACCCAGTTCCAGTGGAAGTCAAAATAGTCTAGTCACCTAAATTCTCTATGTATGTTCAACAAGGTTTCTTCTCTACCTTCATGCCACAAGCTGCAAGTTTTGGCTATTTTTTCTATTAAATTGCTGCCAACTTTCACTCCATAAGTCCCTACTTTTGAGTAAACTTAAAAGTATGTTTACAAAATACAAAATCTTACACCAGGCCTGGTGGTTTACCGCTGTAATCCCAGAATGTTGGAAGAGTAACATTAGGACAATCACCTGAGCCCAGGAGTTCAAGGCTGCAGTGATCTATGATCATGTCACTGCACTCTAGCAGGGGCAACAGAGTGAGATCCTGTCTCTTAAAAAAAAAAAAGAAAAAAATAACTCATCTCATAGAACCATTGTTATTTTGTAGTGAATTAAGAGAGTTTTATTATTATATTTAATACTATATTATATATTTGATGATTTTTTTTTTAATTTAGATACAAGGTCTTGTTCTGTCACCCAGGCTGGAGTACAATGGCATGATAACAGCTCACTGCAGCCTTGAACTCCTGGCCTCAAGCAATTCTCCCACCTCAGCCTTCCAAGTAGTTGGAAACACAGGCATGCACTACCATGCCTGGCTAGCTTTTTTATTTTTTGTAGAGACAGGGTCTCACTAAATTACCTAGGCTTGTCTTGAATTCCTAGGCTTGTCATGTAATCCTAGTCCTCCCAAAGTGCTGGGATCACAAAAATGAACAACCATGCCCAGCCCCAAAGATATTCTTTAGAAATACAGAAATACATGTCTATATATGATAGTCTATATTATTATTAAATTTGTAAACAGCAATTTCAGCAAACACACATTGTGTGCCTACTACTAAAATATGTTATATTAGGCAGTAGACATACAAACAACCAAAAATGGTAATTATTTTCAATAAGCTAAAGGTCTTGTGGATGAGATAGAAAATTTAACAGATATTTGCAATATCAAATGGTAAAAGTTACAAAGTTATAATGAAGAAAACAAAGAAGATAGTTTCCTAACCCACAGGAGATAGCAGCAGGAAGAGTGGTCATATAAATTACCCATATGTTTTATATTTGGCAATACGTATAAAAGGGAGAATATGAATACAAATTAAACAGTGGAAGAGGAGTAGAGAAGATGAACATAGCAGAAATCATATCAGTAAAATCAAGGAGGCTTGACTTGGAGTGGGATGTGCAAGGAATTCTCAGTGGGTTTAATCTGAGAACTAATGTGGAATGCAGAAGAGCAGCAAAAAGAGGTCAGGAAGAAGCAGGCCATGGAAGGCACTGATTTTATACAGTTTTTCTTTGTGTATCTATTGATTACTTGCATTAGTGTCACCTTAGGGTCTTATTAAAATATAGATTCTTGAGCCACTCCCCTAGACCTACAGGATAAGAAAATCTGGGTATCAGGGCTATAGACTGTATCAGGCTCTTCAGGTGAAGCCTAGCCATTTCAGAGAGAAGTTTATGAGTAATGAGAACTATCAAAGAGTAGTTAAGAGGGGGGACTTCTCATGAACAGATGTTGGACTTGTAGTGTAGATAGATTACTCTGATGATTACAGAAAGATAGTTTTGAAAAAGGGAAAGACTACCTAAAGTTATTTATAAGACTGGCAAGAAGTGAAAGACTAAAGCTGAAAGTAGAACATGCTTGTAGGGAGTTTACTCATTGTGGAATATAACCCCAACTTTTGCAACGGAGAAACAACAACCCAAAACAGAGGCATGAAAACAACGTTAGTTTTTCTTACATTCTAATATATAATTTGCACCCAGTGCTACACCAGGATTTTTAGAAAAAGCTAGGCATTGGAGAAATTTCATCATCCCTTTTCTTCCACTTTAACTCAAAACAACCATATGTAAAGTTAAAACAAAAATTGCACGTGTACCAAAATTTAAAATACTTTATGAATTTTGCAATTGTGTATTTCTGTATACATTTATCAATTCTGATTTTTAAAAATGTAATGTCCCTTTCTGGATATGCCAAAAGCACGTGCTTTATGTGCTTATTGGGTACAGAACTGTTTATACAATATTGCTGACATTAAAAAAAAATGCTTTCAAAAGATTTGATTACTTTTTTTTTCCATCTTGGGTATTTAAACCTGAGATATGAAGGCCATTCACAAGTACAATAGTAAATATGGAAAGAAGAAACCAAGAGAAAACAAATCTATAAGAAGATATGCTTACTTGTTAAATGAGATCAAGCCAGGAAATTATGAGATTCTGGAGGCAAAGAGGCAGATATGAATAGATAGAAGCTTGAAAGCTGAGAACCTGTGGTTTATATGTGACGTGTTGTAAAACCAAGGCAGACACATAGGAAGAGGAATGACTGCTCTCAGGAGATTTTGAAAAACCTGACTTAAGTGAGCCAGAAATGGAGGGAGGATATAAAAAATAAAGTTAATGCAAAGGAGTGACCACAGCTCTATATAATTATATGATGAATCATAAGATATCACTAACTACAAACCAAAGGCTTGGAATATGCTCATAATATTTACTAAATATTGAATACTGTGTGCCAAGCATGAAGCTGAATAGATTATAATCATTATTTTTATCAAATTCCCACAGCAACTCTGATATTCAGTAATCTAATCTTGATCACAAACCAAGGAAGCAGCAAAGCCTTTATTTAAGCCCTGGCTCATCTTCTCCAAGGTTCATGCTTTTAGTCATTATTCTCTGTTGCCTCTCCAGTGGTAATAGCTCCCAACAGAAGTGAATTTGAATCTTCCAGGAAAGTAGAATAAAGGGCAAAAATAAGGGGCATAAAAGAAAACTGTTTAGCATTTAACTTAGATTATCTCATTTAATTCTCACAAGAATATTAAGAGTTAGACTGTATGCACATTTTAAAAATGTGGAAACTGATGCAAAAGCAGTAAATATTATTTGCCAAAACAACCCTACATAGACACTAAGTGGCAGAGCCAGGTTGCAAGGTCAGCCAATCTGACTCCCCTGCTCATATCCATTCAGTCTTCATAGTGCAACATAATTTAAATAGTAAAATCATCAATTCCCAGTGAAATGCTAGGTTTAATGAAAAGTGACAAGGTTGGGGGAAATGAGAGACCTCCCACACCTGTACAGACGGAGGTACATATGTGAAGGCTGAGAGGTAACCACATTACCATATTCCCTCTCCATCCATTCACTTAAAAAATGGATTCAGTCTACGTATTAGTTTGCTACGGCTGTATTATAGACTGAAAGTTTGTGTCCCCCTACCAAAAAATCACGTTTGAATTTAATCTCCCAATTTCTATTGTGCTTCTTAAAATTCTTTCAGACTTTACCCATTATCCAATTCCAAACCACTTCCATGTTTTTAGGCATTTGTTATAGTAGTACACTTCTTAGTACCAAAATATTTATTGCAAAAAATTGGCTTATGTGACTGTGGCAGCTGGCTAGGCAAGTTCAAAATCTGTAGGGCAGGCTATGAGAAAAGACAGGCTAGAACTCAAGCAAAAGCTGAAACTGCAGTCCACAGGCAGAATTTGTTTCCTTCTGGGATGTGTTCATTTTGCTTTTAAGGCTTGTCAGATGTTTTAATGAAGTTCACCTAGATTATCTAAAATAATCTTTTTTACTTTAAGTAAACTATAGACTTTAATCACATCTATATAAAATATGTTCACAGTAACATCTAGATTAATGTTCAGTTGAATAACTGAGAACTACAGGTTAGCCACAATGACATATAACACTAACCATTACATTGTTTTTTAGTTTTTGGATTTTTTTATTCATATGCCCCAGTCTTGGTGCTACAGAAGCTGGCAACCTGGAATAGCCAATGGGCATGATAGCAACCATAACAACAAACAACAAATCTCCCCAAAACTTCTGCTTTATCTAGGACCAGAAAGTGGAACTCCAGCAAGGCAGGAACTTATGGACATAACTGTCTTACCTTATCCCAGTTAAGCAAGGCAGAAAAAAATCATAGGATCAACCTCAACCCTATCAGCAAAGGCAGATGAAGACATTGTGTTACTGGAAAACCAGGGGTTTGGTCTAGGTCCTGCTGCTCGCTTGATAGAAAGCCAATCCCTAAGACAAGGAGTATTGCCAAGGAAGAAGGCTTTAATCAGGTGCTGCAGCTGAGTAGACGGGAAATCAGTCTCAAATCCATCTGCCTAACTGACTATAACGAAAGAGCTAACATTCATGTTCTTGGTGTCCTAGAAGGGGACGGATCTGGGCTAGGCATCCTAGAAAAGAATGGGGCTGAGAATACATTCAAAGAAATAATAGCAATAATTTCCCAAATTTGAAAAAAGCCACTAGGTGCAAGGGTCTGAGTAAGCCCTAAACAGGATAAACCCCAAACTACCCTCACAAAGACACATCACAATCAAACTTCTGAAAACTAAAGAAAGACAAAGAAAAATCTTGAAGGCAGTGAAAGAGAAATGATACCTTATCCTAATTAAAATTTCTCATCTGAAGCTATGCAACCCAAAAGGAGGTAGCATGACATTTTTCAAATTCTGGAAAAGCAGCAACTGTCAAGTCTGAATTCTATATCCAGCAAAATGAAAAAGAAATAAAGACATACCCAGATGAAGGAAAAACTAAGAGAATTTTTATGACCAGACCTACCTTGAAAAACTGTCTAAAGGAAGTTCTTTAAATAGGAGGAAAAGGTAAAATAAGAAATCTTGGGACATCTGGTGGAAAGAAAGAAAAATTTAAAGAGCAAAAGATTTTCTTTCTTTTTTTGAATTTTAAAAATTATGTTTGATGGTTGAAGCAAAAAGGATAATATTTTCTGATGTGGTTCTAAACACGGGTAGAGAAAATATTTAGGACAGTTATAGACTATATAGAATTAAGAGACAAGGTGACATAAGATTTTTATACTAAACTCAAACATAAAATGTGGGCATGAGCAGAATCTAGTAAGTTATGTATATATAACTTAATGTCTATAAAAACCCCTAAAATTTTATACAAGATGTACAAAAACACTATACAAAGTAAAATATTATTCTAAAAAATATTCAAGTAACACAGAGTAAAAAAGCAAAAAGAAAATGGAGAAACACGAACAAAAAGGAAAAAAATAAAATGCCAGACTTAAGTCCTAATATAATTCTATCGAAGGTAAACAGGCTACATTCACTAATTAAAAGAGATAGGCAAAATGGCTTTAAAAACATGATCCAACTATATGCTAGGGCACTATGCTGACTAAAAATGCCAATCAAAAATGTTATATACTGTATGATTCCATTTATATAACATTCTCAAAATGACAAAATTATACATAGAACAAATTAGTGGTTGCTCATGCTTCAGGGTGGGTGTGCCTAATTCCCTAGTTCTAGCAGAAGGGAAATCTTCCTGATGATGGAACAGTTCTGATCTTGATTCTGCTGGTGGTTACATAATATGATAATAAGGCACAAGACAATACATACATTGTATTGTTGTTTCTGGTTTTGATGTTGTGCTATAGTTATATAAGTTATGGCCTCTGGGGGAAACTGGGTGAAGAGTTCATGAGATTTTTTTCACTGGAGTAAAAGTATTTCAGAGCTAGAAGAAATTTAACACATTTCTCAAAAAAATATGAAGACAGACATAATAGTCTCCATTCTTATGTGTCATTTTAAGTGTAATTCTGTTCTTGAATAAGATCTTGACCTCTAATTGGCAACTTCTCCCACTTTCCTGCCTGCTACCCTAACGTATCAACTCTATGGTATATTAATCATATTATCATATTTTGCTCTTGTGAAATTTCCTGTAGAACAAAAATGACTTTGTAAAATCATATGGCTCAATTCTCTGTCTCCCTGCATATGTGTGAAATATGTAAATCAGTTATCTCAGATGACCACCACCTCCTTAGATGATGTACATTCTTTCTTCTATAGTTTCCAAATATTTAAGAACTTTAGTCTCATAATTTTTTTCTATGGATTTATTTTCTGTGTGACAGTGTTAAAATGGAACTATTTATGTGTTACCAATACAATGGATATAAGATACTGTAATAAGCGTAAAACAAAGCTTTCCTGTATGCAGATGTTTCCAAAAGAAATATTGGAGAATATTTTTTCATCTTCTTTCCAAAAGAAATATTGGAGAAATAATTTATTTCATATTAATGAATCTTACACTATTCAGGTCTTTAGATAGACAAAAGATAAAGAAAATGAGGTACATGTACACCATGAAGTACTACACAGCCATAAAAAATAATGAGGTCATGTCCTTTGCAGGGACATGGATGGAGCCTGCTCCATCCTTAGCAAAATAACACAGGAGCAGAAAACCAAATACAACATGTTCTCACTTACAAGTGGGAGTTAAATGATAAGAACACATGGACACATAGAGGGGAACAACATACACTGGGGCCCCTTGGAGGGTGGAGGGTGGGAGTAAGGAGAGGATCAGGAAAAATAATGAATGGGTACTAGGCTTAATACCTGGATGATGAAATAATCTTTACAACAAATCCAATGACAAATATTTACCTATTTAGCAAACCTGCACATGGGCCCCTGAACTTAGAATAAGAGTTTAAAAAAAGGCAAAATAAAGATTTATTAGACACGCAGATGCATACACACACAAAAAGAGAGATTTTTAAAATGTATGAAGACATTTCCTTGGAGATAGGTTGATGCTGTGGGTTCATGAATTCCCCGTTTGGGATTGGGATTTTGGAGGTGATACCTCCTTCACCTTAATTCTAGAGAAAGTGAGCATTAGTAGGATCTGTTGGAAAATTATGCACTTCCCTATGGATAGAAGAGATTCAGGACTGTAGCCTCACTCTCAATGCAGAATCTACAGGGAGAAAGATAAGCTAACTAGCTGATTTGTCAGCTAAGCCAGGTGAGGGTTTTGTTTTGTCTTGTTCCAATTTTTGATAGAATGTTTGTTCTCCTAAAAGGAGAAGGATACATGAGTACATTCTGTGAACACAAAAAAGAAAGAAAGCCAGAGTGGGCAATCTTTGCCCCCTACAATGTGCCTTTTGAGAGGCATAGAAGACCCAGTAGAAGGAAGCTGATGGTGACGAGCTACGGACATATCTGAGGCCCTTGGACATGCCCAGAAGAGAAAATGTCAGTTTTAAGTATTTCCCATGCTCAGAGAGTACAAAGCCACTATACACAGTAAGCTGAACATATTTTAAAGGAATGATGTGGGATCAAAATCAAGATGTGTTTTTATTATATCACAGGTAGTATTACCAAAGATTAAATAGACAGATTTTTCAAATACATATTGTTTGTAGTCCAAATAATCTTACTCTTACAATTATTTTTTAAAACCCCTGACCTTTTTTCCAGCTTCTCCAAACACTTCTATAGTGACCATTAATTAACCAGTGCAGTGGCTTAGAAGAGAATAATTTTTCAGCTAATTAATACTATCACTTCCTTTACACAAGTCTTTTGAGTTTGAAGGAGAGAATCATTTCCTGTACAATGACTACAGTGTGGTCAAGAAGAACGAAAAAAGAGAAGAGATTTAGCCTTCGGATTGTGGTTTTTAAAAAAAGTAAAATGCCATTTCTGTGTCAGCTGAGTGAGCAAAATAAAAGCCAAATTGAATGTGTTGAGGAGTATCAGACAATAAAGTGGAAAGGCAGGTATATGAAGCAAGCTTGAAGAACTAGGAATACACCTAAATATGCTTATACATTATATTTCTCTACAAAATTTACAACCATAATATCTCAATTAGGATGAATTTCTACAGCAAAATAATTTATATAAATGTCAAAATATTTTTGCTTCACATAAAATATTTTTAGATTGCTAAAAATCATTTAAAGTTTTTTTTTACTTAGAAAAAAATAAGATTTGTTTCAGAAGATAAGATTAAAAAGACGAAGAGAGAGATTCTAAAAATTTCTTAAAGAGCATTTTCCCTGATAGTAACATATGCTTACTATTAAAATGAGAGAGCAGAAAAAAATGTGTATTTCAACTATTGAACAATGTCGCATTTTAACTTATTTTTAATGTTTTATAGTTGCTTTCCTTTACGTTAAACGTGTTAATTTTTATTTTAAAATATTTTTAAACTTGACAAGAGAATACAGATAATTTCCTAGTTCATCACTCCTTATGGGGTACGTGGGATATTTTGACACAGGCATGCAATGTGTTATAAACACATCATGGAAAATGGAGTATCCATCCCCTCTAGCATTTATCTTTTGTGTTACAATTATAACCTTTTAGTTACTTTAAAACATACAATTACATTCTTATTCACTACAGTCAACCTGTTGTGCTAGCAAATACTAAGCCTTTTTCATTCTGTATTTTTTTATACCCAGTAACCATCCCCGCTTCTCCACCTAGTCCCCCACTACCCTTACCAGCTTCCTGTAACCATCCTTCTACTCTCTATCTCCATGGATTCAATTGTTTTGAGTTTTAGATCCCACAAGTAAGTGAGAACATACAATGTTTGTATTTCTGTGGCTGGCTTATTTCACCTAATATAATGACCTCCAGTTCCGTCCATTTGCAACACCATGCAAATCTTGCTTTCAAATCTTGCCTATTGTGAACAGTGTTGAGACAAACATGGGAGGGCAGATGTATCTTCTATGCTGATTTCCTTTCTTGGGGGTACATACCCAGCAGGGGAATTGCTGGATTATTAGGTAGTTCTATTTTTAGTTTTATGAGGAACCTCCAAACTCTTCTCCATACTGGTTGTACTAATTTACCTTCCTACCAATAGTGTACAATGGTTCCCTATTCACCACATCCTTGCCAGCATTTGTTGCCTGTCTGTTGGATAAAAACCATTTAACTGGGGTGAGTTGATATCTCACTGTAGTTTTTATCTGTATTTCTCTGATGATCAGTGATGTTGAGCACCTTTTCATATGCCTGTTTACCATCTGTATGTCTCCTTTAGAGAAATGTCTATTCAAACCTTTTGCCAATTTTTTAATCAGATTATTAGGTATTTTATCTGCAGAGTAGTTTGAACTTCTTATATATTCTGATTATTAATGCCTTCTCAGATGGGTAGTTTGAAAATATTTTTCCCATTCTGTAGGTTGTGGGTTGTCTCTTCATTGTGTTGACTGTTTCCTTTGCTGTGCAAAAGCTTTTTAACTTGATGTGATTCCACTTGTTCATTTTTGCTTTGCTTGCCTGTGCTTGTGGGGTGTTACTCAAAAAATGTTTGCCCAGAACAATGTCCTAGAGAGTTTCCCCAGTGTTTTCTTGTAGTAGTTTCATAGTTTGTGATCCTAAATTCAAGACTTTATTACATTTTTATTTGATTTTTGTATATGGTGAGAGACAGGAGTTTAGTGTCATTCTTCTGCACATGGATATCCAGTTTTCTCAGCACCATTTATTAGATACACTGTCTTTTCCCCAAAGTATGTTCTCAGCAGTTTTGTTGAAAATGAGTTATCTGTCAGTATGGGGATTTGTTTCTGGGTTCTCACTCTATTCCATTGTTCTATGTGTCTGTTTTTATGCCAGTACCACATTGTTTTGATTAGTATAGTTCTGTAGTATAATTTGAAGTCAGGTAATTTGATTCCTCCAGTTTTGTTCTTTTGGCTTAGGATAGCTTTGGCTCTTTGGGGTATTTTATGGTTCCATATAAATTTTAGAATTTTTTTCCTATATCTGTGCAGAATGTCATTGGTATTTTGATAGACATTACATTTAATCTATAGAATGCTTTCCATAGCATGGACATTTTAACAATATTGATTCTTCCAATCCATGAACATTGAATATATTTCCTTTTTTTGTTTTCTCTTTAATTTCTTTCATTAGTGTTTTATGTGTTTCATTGTAGAGATCTTTTACTTCTTTGGTTAATTCCTAGGTATTTAATTTTATGTTTGGCTATGGTAAATATAATTACTTTCTTGATTTCTGTTTCAGATTGTTCACTATTTGCATACAGAAATGTAACTAATTTTTGCATACTTTTTGTTCTGCAACTTTGCAAAATTTGTTTATTAATTCTCTTAGATTTTTGGTAGAGTCTTTAGGTTTTCCCAAATATAAGATCATATCATATGCAAACTAGGATAATTTAATTTCTTTCTTTCTAATTTGGATGCCCTTTATTTCTTCTCTTGCCTTACAGCGCTATGTTGAGTAACAGTGGCAAAAGTGGGCAGTCTTGTCTTGTTCCAGATCTTAGAGAAAAGGCTTTCAGTTTTTCTCCGTTCGGTATGATACTAGCTGTGGATCTGTTGTATACGGCTTTTATTATGTTGGGGTACATTCCATCTATACCCAGGTTTTTTAGGGTTTTTTCATTAAGGGATGTTGAATTTTATCAAATGGTTTTCACCATCAATTTAAATGATTATATGGTTTTTGTACTTCATTCTTTTGATACAATATATCACATTGCTTAATTTGCATTTGTTGAACCAACCTTCTGTCTCAGGGATAAATCCTACTCAGTCATGATGAATGATCATGTTAGCATACTGTTGAATTTGGTTTGCTAGTATTTTGTTGAGAATTTCTGCATCAATATTTATCAGAGATATTGGCCTATAGTTGTTGTTTTTTAATGTGTGTCTGTCTGGTTTTGCTATCAGGGTAATACTGGCCTCATAGAATAAGTTTACAAGTATTTTTTCTTCCTTTATTTTTTGGAATAGCTTCAGTAGGATTGTTATTAGTTCTTCTTCAAATGCTTGATAGGATTAGCTGTGAAACCATAGGGTCCTGGGCTTTTCTTTACTGGAAGACTTTTTATTATGGCTTCAATATCATTACTTGTTATTGGTCTGTTCAGGTTTTGGATTTCTTCATATTTCAGTCTTGGTAGGTTGTATCTGTCTAGGAATGTATCCATTTCTTCTAGATTTTCTAATTTGTTGGTATAAAATTGCTTCTAGTAGCCACTAATTATTAGTATCAAAAATTTTGTATTATCTTCTCTCAGTTTATTTATTTGGGTCTTTTCCCTTTTTTTCTTCATTAGTCTGGCTAAAGGTTTGTTGATTTTATCTTTTCAAAAAAACAACTTTTTATTTCCTTGATCTTTTGTATTGTTTTCTTCATTTCAAATTCATTTATTTTGGCTCTATTCTTTATTATTTCTTCTACTAGTTTTCGGTTTGGTTTGCTCTTGCTTTTTAACTTCTTTAAGACGCATTGATAGATTATTTACCTGAAGTTTTTCTTTTTTGTTTTATGTAGACACTTATTGCTATAAATTTTCCTCTTAGTACTGCTTTTGCTGTAACCCATAGGTTTTGGTATGTTGTGTTTCCATTATAGTTTGTACCAAGAAATTTTCCAACTTCCTTCTTAATTTCCTCCATGACTCACTGGTCATTCAGGAGCATACTGTTTAACTTCTATGTGTTTGTACAGTGTCCAAAATTCCTCTTGTTATTGAGTTCTAGTTTTATTCCATTGTAATCAGAGAAGATGCTTAATATTATTTTAATTTTTTTGAATATTTAATACTTGTTTTGTGACCTAACATATGGTCTATCATTGAGAATCATCCATGTGGCGAGGAGAATGTGTATTCTGCAGCTGTTGGATGAAATGTTCTGTGGACATTTTTTAGGTTAATTTGTCCTATACTGCATATTAAGTCTGATTTTCTTTCCTAATTGATTTTCAGTCTGGGAGATCTGTCCAAAGCTGAAAATGGGATGTTGAAGTATCCAGCTTTTATTGTATTGAGGTCCTTCTCTTTCTTTAGCTCTAATATTTGCTTTATATATATGCAGACTCAAGTGTTGTGTGCATATATATTTACAATTGTTATATCTTCTTGCTGACTTGACTTTTTAAATTATATAATGACCTTTCTTGTCTCTTACAATATTTGTCTTGAAATGTATATTGCGTTATATAAGTATAGCAACTCATTAGATTTTCTGGTTTCCCTTGGCATTTAATATCTTTTTCCATTCCTTTATTTTCAGTCTATAAGTATCCTTAAAAGTGAAGTGTGTTTCTTATAAGCAACCGATCACTGAGTCATGTTTTTTTTAATACATTTTTAATATTCTATGTCTTTATATTGGAGAGTTTAGTCCATTTACATTCAATGTTACTATTGATACATTGGGACTTACTCCCTCCTGTCATTTAGTTATTTGTTTTATGGTTGTTTTTTGGTCTTCTCTTCCTTCCTTCTTTCCTTCCTCCCTATTGTCCTTTAGTAAAAGTGATTTTCTCTGCTGGTATACTTTAATCTCTTGTCTTTTATTTTTTCGGCTACCTGTTGTATTTTATAATGCACTATTTTAAACTGATTATAATTTAACATTGATTGCATAACAAACACACAAAAGAAAACTCATGAATACTCTACACTTTAACCTCTTCCCCCTGCTTTCATCTTTTTCTCATTTCTCTTTATGTCTTTTCATACTAAGTCTTATTTCTTTTCTCTTGCTGCTTTTGAGATGCTTTCCTTATCCTTGACCTTGGGAGTTTTGATTATTAAATGTCTTTAGGTAGTCATCTTTGGGTTAATGCTTGGTGTTTTATAACCTTTTTGTTTTTGCATATGCATTTTTTTCTCTAGGTTTTGGAATTTCTCTGTTATTATTCCTTTGAATAATTTTTCTGCCCCATGTCTCTTTCTCTACCTCATTTTTTAAGGCCAATAATCTTATATTTGCCTTTTTGAGGCTATTTTCTAGGTCTTGTAGGCCTTCTTTATTCATTTTTATTCATTTTTCTTCTGTCTCCTCTGACAGTGTGTTTTCAAATAGTCTGTCTTCAAGCTCACCAATACTTTCTTCCCTTTGACCAATTCTGCCATTAAGAGACTCAGGTGCATTCTTCAGTATGTCAATTGAATTTTTCAACTCTAGAATTTCTGCTTGATTCTTTTCAATTATCTAAATGTTTTTGTTAAATTTATCTCATCGAATTCTGAATGCCTTCTCTGTGTTATCTTGAATGTCTTTGAGTTTCCTCAAAACAGCTATTTTGAATTCTCTCTTTGAAAGGGCTCTATTATAAACAGATGGTGAAGCCAGCCATGTTTGTGTCCTTCCCTTCAGAGTAATGAGTTGCCCCACATCCCTAGAAGATCCAAACAGGCTGTCTGGGAGCCAGGGATTGGATTCCAAAACGTTATAAATTTACCTGATATTCTATTCTATTGTGGCTAAACTGTCACTGAAACCACAATACAAAGTCCTTCTCTCTCTTTCCTCCCCTTTCCACAGGCAGAGGCTCCTCTCTCTGTGGCCACCACTACATTCAATCCATGGTGGGTTCTGCCATGCCACTGCAAACATTCACTTAAAGCCCAAGTGCTCTTCACTCAGCTTATGGTGAATGCTGCCAGGCCTGGGACTCAGCCTTCAGGGCAGGGAAGGTCCAGAAATGCTGTCCAAGAGCCTAGGCCTGGATTTGGGGAAACTGAGAGACCATTTGTTGGTCTACCCCACTGTGGCCAAATTGGGACCTAAGGTGCTATACAAAAGTCCCCTTTACTTTTCCCTCTGCTTTTCTCAAACAGAAGAGGTATCTCCCTGTAGCCATAACAGCTAGGAATGTGCTGGGTCACACCAGAAGCCAGCACATCTTAGAGTCTAGGCTTATGGCATACTACCTGGGTATTGCTGCTGGCTTTTTAAAAAGGGCCCAAGGTCTTTTTATTCAGCAGGTGATTAACTCTGCCAGAACTTCATTCTTCCCTTCAGGGCAGTGGGTTCCCTTTTGGCCTAGTGTGTCTAGAAATGTTGTCTATGAGCTAGGGCTTGGAATGGGGTCCTCATGGCTCTGCCTAGTGCTATATCCTACTGTGGCTGAGCTGGTATCTAAGATGAAAGAAAAAGGCCTCTTTACTCTTCACTTTATTCTCCTTAAGCAGAAGGAAGGAGTCACTTTCATTTCTGTGAGCTGCATGGCCTGGGGTTGGGGGAGGGGTGGCATAAGCACTCCCTTAGCCACCCCAGCTGGTGTCTTCCTAGGACACATTCTACCCTAGTCCACTGGCTCTTAGTCCAGACCAGCACTAGGAGTTGCCTAGACTGTCCTTTCAAGTTTACCCAGGATCCCAGAGCACTTTGTCCTGTGGTGGCCAGGCTTGCCCAGAAACTCAAGTTCTGACTGCTGGGATGGGTATTTTCCCTCTAGCTGGGTCTGGTCCAAATGCTTCCTCCATGCGCGGGTGCTGGCTGAGCCCAGCACAACTTTGCTGTCTGCTGTGACAGGACAGCACTGAGTTCAATGTAAAGTCCCCTGTGTTCTCCCTCCCTCCCATGCACAGACTCTCTCCATGCTGCATGGCTGTTGCCAGCGGACAGGGAAGGGGTGGGATCCATGATTCTTGACTATCTCTCCTACCCTCTTCAATGCCTCTTTCAGTGATATAAAGTTACAACTAGGATACAGTGATTTCTCACTTTATTTTTGGGACTTGTGACCGTGCTTTTCTATATGCAGATTGTTATTAAAATTTGGTGTTCCTATGGAGGAGATGAACAGTGCTGTCATTTATTCCATCATCTTGCTCTCTCCTGTGTAACTTTTCTAGCATACAGATAGAATAATGTCACTCTACTGCTGAAAAACTATGTAACTGCACATAGCTTTAAGTTTTAATTTCTTAGCATGTTTACAGATAAAATGTGAAAAGACATTTTGATGTCATCATGAAAGTTTCATTCACAACAAAGTCTATGACTGTCAATCAATAGTTGCATTTTATTATTGGATATTTTGTTCATAGCTTCTTATGTGTCTAGTTTTCCTTACATGATTTCAGAATCTATTATTTTATATCTGTTCTCTAGTTGAATACGTGAATATTGGCATTGCTTTATATTTGCCTAGACATAGGTATTACAATAAAAATTCAGAAAAGCCTTTTTAAACAAAACCTCAATATAATTATTCAAACATTGTATTAAACTGAAATATGCCTGCTTTGGTTAAAATCCAGAATCATAGAAATACTAGTCAGTTACCATGACTTTGGCTTACATTTAGCTCTAAAATCAACTTTTATTGAAATACAGTGACTTTAATAAAAACAAAAATTGAGTGCAGTTTTGTGGCTGATCTCTTTCAAAGTGTAAGTAATTACCTTCAACGTGCTGAAACCAGATCACAGATTTGGGTATCCCCAAATTTAGGCTTTTTAGGAGTCTAATAGTGGTACTTATTACAAGACATGTATTCTTGAATTTCCCACTCTCTCTCCCAATGTCAGACACGTACCTAAAGCATCTGGTAAATATATACTGAATAATTTAATGCCTTACATTATATCCATATATAAAAATAGAGCCTTTGAGAATTTTAGACCCTGGCTAGAAAGTTCAGCCTAAAAAAAAGACTCTCAACCTTGACATAAGACCAGAATGAGTTGAAATTAGTTTAACTGGATTGGCTTTATATGATAAAAATTCAAAACGGGCAGCCAACTTAATGTTAGCTTATCTTGAACTCTATTCCAGTTAGTTACAGTAGAATCAAAGATATCTTTGTTGTGCGATGATTCTAACCTTAACTCATCACTACAGAAAAGACCATTCAAAATGGCACAGTGAAACTTCAGTGTGGACTTTAATCATTACATTACTATTACAATTTTGGTAATAGTATACAGGCATCTTGAGTGCCATATAGTAAACATATTGGAAGCACATTCAGTGCCTTACACCTATATTTTTAAGAGCAAAATGAACACATATGATACAGAATGAATAAATTGGAATCTTTGCAGGCTTTAGAAGATCAAATAATGGTTTAAATGCACAGATGACATGATACAGGCTCTAATAAGCTTCATTTTTTCTGTAGCCAATTCAGTAAAATATTACTACATTAATTCCTCTTACTCATAATCACGAAGTTGAATACAAATTGAGAATACACTATTGAAATAGTTCCCTCAAAACAGAATTCCTAAACCTTTAGATTTACCATTTTCCTCTTTCTCCATAATTTTTTTCATCTCTTTAAAGAATGAATTTCACAGCAAGCAAGCATGTTCTTTTATGAATTATTTATAAACTAATTAAAATAGCATAAATCACAAATTTCTGATGGATACAGATGGGACTCTAATGACAGTCCACCAGGAAGGACAGTTTTGACATGACCTTAAAGTGTACAGTAACTGCTATTTAGTAGAGCAGTTGAGAATTGTAATATTGTCTATTTTGTAGCTCAAATTGAACCAGCACCATGATGATTAGCATATGTTAAAGCCACCCCTATTTTATTCTCTTGCACAGCAGAGCAGCTGTGCCCAGAAACTGATTTCTCATTGGGCTTTTGAAAGCAAAAACTCACAACAATAAAGTCAAAGCAGGCGTACTATGAAAACTGTTTTACCCATTATTATAGGAGATACACACAGACACACACACACACACACACACACACACACACATATATGTCTACATCTATGTCTATATAGTTTTTGCTGGTTGATTTTTTTGTTAACAAATTACTCAGCCTACCAAAGTCGGCCTGTAGGATTGTTTTTTTGTGCTTGGGCAGAGGCAGAAATTACAAGTGTTACTAAGTACCAGTGCCAGCTATTTGAGACAAAATAAAAAGTCCTGTCCGTGTTGAGTATCGGAGAGGAAAAAAGAAATAAAATGTATGCATAACATTGTTGTTGAAAGAATAGTGGCAGAGTGAATAGTATAAGGAGTAACAGAAGGTCAAAGTGGGAAATGAGAGTCAACCAAGAAAGTACAGAAAGCCATAAATGACTTAGAAAGCCAAATGCAGAGGAGAAGGTCTTTCAGGCAACAGATAATGAACGGCCAGTGAAAGCATTGCCTATTATTACCAGGATTCAAAAACATTGTTGAAAATTTCTTTATATAACAAAGTACTTGAAAACCAAAATAAAATAGAGGCTAAACCCTGTAAACTTCTTACATATCTATTTTCAGACCCACCAGGATTGTACTAGTTTTCTAAGCCTAACTTAACTAATTACTATGAATTTGGGGACATAAAACAACAGAAATTTATTGTCTTACAGTTCAGCAGACCAGAAGTCCAAAATCAAGGTGTCAACAAGGTTGGTTGCCTCTGGAGCCTCTAAAGGAGAAGGCTTCCTTTTCTTCTCTCCTAAATTTTGATGGTTGCTGGCAATCCTGGGCATTCCTTGGCCTGTAGACAAAATCTCTGCATTCATTTTTGCATCACCTTTCTCTCTGGGACTGTGTGTCTTTTCTATCTCTTATAAGGATACTCTCATTGGATTTAGAGCCCAATCAAATCCAGTATAATCTCATTTATTGCTTATCTTAATTACATATGCAAAGACCCTATTTCTGGATAAGGTCAAATTCTTATGTTCTAGGTGGGAGAGAATTTTGCGACACTATTCAGCACACTCAGTATGATTTCTTTCAAAGTTTAGAAACAGATCATTCAGTTATTTGTTAAGCCTTCTTAAAGAAAAAAAAGGCTTTGCTTTCATATTTAACAATCAAGAGCTATATAATATAGACTTGAATTATTATTTTTAATCAAGTGATAGAATGGCTATACAACTACCTGTATCAATACTATAAAACATTCTATGTGGCTCAGTCTAGAAAAACTAAATATATTAATATCTACTGAATCTATTTTGTTTCCATTCTTGATGAAAATTGTTCACAGAATTCTGTCTGTATATGTGGGGAGGTTACCTTTTCTATTAGATAGAAGGATGTCAATAAAATTGGTAGCCTTTGCCTTGGTATGATGCCCAAAAGCCCTGCTTTAACAAGTTCTCCAAGTGATTCTGGTGCTCACTAAAGTTTGAGAAGCATTGATCTAGAGTAACAAGTGATTTCACTTGTGTTACTCATTTATTTCTTGAAACAAGCCAGTAATTCAGGCATTAATATATTTTCTTCCTTACAGATCTAGAATAGAAGGCTCAGAGGTGAATCGACTCAAGTTAGGCAATTCACTGAGTCGATGGCAGAGTTAGATGGAAAATTTGTTCATGTCATTTAATATACTATTTACTCAGTTTCATGAACTAAAAATATGATAAGAATATAGAAACAATAACATGTAGTCCACAAACTTTACATAACCTGGAATATTTCTCACCTGTTTTTTTTCTTTTTTTTCAATTTTCTTTGTTCTCACGCTGGATGCAACATGGAAAGCCAAAATCCGTTTTCAGACACCAACATTGTCAGCTGCCAGGGCATTCTGACTGCCTCGGTGCTGTGCCTGCTGCTCTGTGCTCCAGTGAGTGAAGGCATTTGGCCTGACCTCCACAGGTGTATCACTTTCCCTTCTACAGGGAAATTCTCAGTTAAAGAGAAATGGCAGGTAAATTTAGATTTGGATGTTCAGATTTATGGCTCCTCCATGACTATTTCTCTGTCCTGTAAAAATGAGTGCTTTACATTCACCGGTAAGCCACACATGGAGGAAAGTTATTCTTATCCTAAGTGTAGCAAACAAACATCAAAATAACAGTCAACTTTTCAAATATTGCTCATTGCTAATCAGCAGGAACTGTGAATTACAACTCACAGAGTAAACAGAATCTTAATTACTCCTTTCATCTTGCCTGCCAAGTGATGTCTCTCATCTAGAAAATGTAAAAAGAAATCATGAATTGAAAATAAGAGGACTAATGAATTGATCAGATTATATAGATCAGAAAACAGAATATGTAATTGTGTAAAGAGAACACTCAGATCTCTTCCAGGCCCATTTTTAACTCAATGTATGACTTTTTAATCAATTGGGTATTTTCATATTTGCCAATTTAAGGTAGTGGGATAAATGTTGTCTTTCTCCTGTATTAGGACTCATAATATAGGAATGAAACTTGAGCATTCTGTCAAAAATATTCAGCCAAAATGTTTATATTTTGAGAAAGATTCCAGGTTAAAGTTGTTTCACAGAAATGATCTGAAAATCACCATGTTGTTAAAGATATGTAAAGGGGCTATTTTACTATCCTGTTCAAGGGTGATAATCTGAACTGAACTGACAATGCTTAAAATAGTATTGCTCCTAAGACCGACTTCTCAAATCTAATAAGTTATGCAAAATCTGTACACTCTGAACAATGTAACCATTTATAAAGTCTTACTGTGGTGACTTTAACAATATTTAGTGATCATCAATAGTATACAAAGGTTCTGAGTGCAACCTTGACTTTTTTTCATAGTTGTTCAACTTCTTGGAGTAAGTGAGGTTTTATAATGCCACATTACAAAAACAATGCCAGCAAAGCAGATGTCCTGATAGAGGTGTTTCCTCAAGTTAACACCAAATGTTGCACATAGAACTTCTCAATGCATGCTGTCCTTGGTTAAAATAACATCTTCAAATTACAAGGCATAATTCAGCTTCTTAAATAAGAATTATGTATTTTTAACCTAAGTTTTGTTGCTTTCAAAAGAGTACTATAAAACTTATAATACTCTGACATTACAAGGATTTAAAATGATAACCTTAAAGACTTTGGAGTTTATCTCAGAATGACTATGCTATGCAAAGTATGATCTATTAGCCATATGTGGCTATTTAAAATACACTTTAGTAAATCTGTCTTAAAAAATTAAATATTCAGTTTCTCAGTTGCAATAGTCACATTTTAAGTCCTCAATAGCCACTTGTGCCTAGTGGCTACTGTAATGGATAGAATAGAAAACATTCCCATCACAAAAGAAAGTTCTACAGTGCTGGTAAAGGTTCTTGAAATTTGGAAGCAACTGCTTGATGTTGGGCAAAGGGATGCCATGAAATTTGTATTCAAGATAATTTGTTTGGGGTACAATGTGGAGAATGAATTTGTGGGCAGAGAAGACTAGAAGAGAGAATCCTAGGTGGTTCCTTGTATTAGGGTTATCTAGAGGGACAGAACCAACAGGATAGATGTATATATAAATGCATGTTTATTAAGAAGTATTGACTCACACGATCACATGGCCACAATAAGTCATCTGCAAGCCGAGGAGCAAGGAAGCTAGTCTGAGTCCCAAAACCTCAAAAGTAAGGAAGGCAACAGTGCGGCTTTCAGTCTGTGGTCGAAAGTCCAAGAGTATCAAAGCTGAAGGACTTAAAGTCCAAAGTTTGAGGGCAGGAAGCATCCAGCATGGGAGAAAGATGTAGGCAGGAAGACTAGGCCAATCTAGTCTTTCCAGATTCCTCCATCTGCCTTTATCCTAGCCATGCTGGCAGCTGATTAGATGGTGCCCACCCAGATTGAGGGTGGGTCTGCCTCTCCCAGTTCACTGACGGAAATATTAATCTCTTTTGGCAGCACCCTCACAGAGACACCCAGAAACAAGACAATTAACTCCCTAGATACCTTTGCTTTGTTGAAGTATATCAAAGAGTAAGAAAAATTTAAAACCCATAAATATTTTGAGTAAGAAATTATTTAATATGATTGAATAGAAACGGATATAATCAATGGTAAGGTGGAAGGGGAAAAGGGAGAGGAAAAGAGCTTTTGGGAAATCTGATAACACAGAGAGTTCAGAGATGCCACTACAGGGGTTCTACCTGCATGAAGCTCAGAGCAGACTATTTCCAACTCTTTTTGGTGCTGCTGAAAACCAACAATAATTTGAGTTACCTGATCACAGCAGCTGCTAGTAAGTAATGTTTTCTTCAGTTCCTGCCTGTATTAGTTGGCTTGGGCTGCTATAACATACCATAGACAAGGTGGCATAAAGACACATTTATTTCTCACAGTTGCAAAGGCTGGGAAGCCCAAGATCAAGGTGAAGTTTGATTCAGTTCCTTATGAGGACTTTCTCTCTGGTTTGCAGATGGCTGTCTTCTCACTGTGGAGAGAGAGAGAGAGAGAGAGAGAGAGAGAGAGATTCCTCTTTTTATTAGGCCATTAATCCCATCAGGAGCGCAGCACCTTCACTACTTCATCTGACCCTAATTACCTCTCAAAGTTAGGACTTCAAAATATGAATTTCAGGGGAACACAAAGTCACTCCATAACACTGTCTTTTCAATTTTGTATGAGTGTCCCTCACTGCTGGAATCTAACCAGAATCTTGTTGAGAAGGAAATCTGGAAAATTCCTTTATCAAGCATTCTACTCCTAAGGTATAGAGAAAAGCTTTCAAGGTCTGTGATGATACCGAGATTCAACTAATGATATATTTATGATATAGTTTGCTGCACTGAATAATTCAAATGCTTTCATCTTCTCTTATCCATATACAGTATCCAAAAAGCAGACCAGTAAGAATAACAATGGAAGGGTACCTGATGTTACCACTTGATCACATGTTGTACTAGAGATTTTTGCCATTTCAATAAGGCAAGATAAAAATATAGGGTATTCAAATTGCAAAGAATGAAATAACTACTTCTATTTGCAGACCCATGATAATCTCAGGAGAAAATCTTTAGGAATATACAAAACAACTTTTACAATTAATAAGCAAATATAACAAGGTCACAGAATATATATTAATCGAAAACACTAGTTGTATTATAATAATGTCATTCAAAATAGCATTTTAAAAACCATAAAATATTTAGAAATTAATTAAACAAAGCACATACCAGATCATGTTTTTGCTTTTTGTTTTGTTTTCCTGATGTTTTGTAAATAAAGTTTTATTAGAACACAACCACATACTTTTTTTTAAATTTAACTTTTATTTTAAATTCAGGGGGTACATGTGCAAGTTTGCTATATAGGTAAACCTGTGTCATGGGAGTTTGTTGGCCAGATCATTTCACCACCCAGGTATTAAGCCTAGTACCCATTAGTTATTTTACCTGATCCTTTCCCTCCTCCTGCCCTCCAACCTCCAGGAGGCCCTAGTATGTGTTGTTACTCTCTATATGTCCATGTGTTCTCATCATTTAGCTCCGACTTATAAGTGAGAGCATGTGGTGTTTGGTTTTCTGTCCCTGCATTAGTTAGCTAAGGATAATGGCCTTTAGCTCCATCTATGTCCCTGCAAAGGATGTGATCTTGTTCTGTTTCACAGCTGCATAGTATTCCATGATGTATATGTACCACATTTTCTTTATCCAGTCTATCATTGTGGGTATTTAGGCTGATTCCATGTCTTTGCTATTGTGAATATTGCTGCAATGAATGTATGTGTGCATGTGTCTTTATAGTAAAGCAATTTGTATTCCTCTGAGTATATACCCAATAATGGGATTGCTGGGTCAAGTGGTTTCTGTTTTGGGTTTTTGAGGAATTGCCACACTGTCTTCCACAATGGCTGAACTAATTTACACTCTCATCAACAGTGTATAAGTGTTCTTTTTTTTCTCTGCAGCCTTGTCAGCAACTACTATTTTTTGCTTTTTTAATAATAGCCATTCTGACTGGTGTGAGATGGTATTTCATTGTGGTTTTGATTTGCATTTCTCTAACCAGATCTTGTTCTTTTAAAACTGCAGAGTATTTCTGACAGAACATTTTTAAACAATACTTAAGGAAGATATACATTATATTTATGAATTAGAATAACTCAATATTATTAAGATGTTACATCTTTTCAAATTGATCTGGAAAGTCAAAGCAGCCATGATCAAAATTTGTTTGCATTAAAAAAATGAATCTAACAACTTGATTACAATTTATACAGAAATGTAAATGACCAAGGAGTGCAAAAGCAATTTTTGAAAGGAAGAGCAAAGTTACAGGACTTATATTTGAATTTTTGTTTGAATAATTATTTTAAAATTAATTAAGAGAGCATGGTAATGACAATGAGGTAGACATACATCACTGAAACAGAATAAACAATCCAGGTATAGATACACACACACCTAGACAAATGTTGACAAAGGTTCCAAAGCAATTCAGTGTGGAAAAGAGAGATTTTTTTTTCTAAAAGCATTGCTAGAAAAACTAAATATGCATATGGAAATAAACATGAAAATAAAATTATCCCTCACTCCATACACAGAATATAATTTAAAATGGATCAAATATCTTAAGTAAAAAGGTAAAACTATTATGCTTCTAAAAGAAAACATTGAAAAATATCTTGGAAAGCTTGGAACGGGCAAATATTTTGAGTCCTTAGGAAATAAGCACTAATCATAACAAAATTGGTGAACTGGACTTAATAAAAGTTTAAAATATTTGTTGCTCAGAAGACATATTAAGAAACAATGAAAGGCACAGAAGATGAGAAAATATTCAAAATACACATATCTAACAAAGGGCATATACCTTAAGTATATAAAGAACACTAACAATAATAAGAGCATAAACACCCCAACACTAAAGTAGGCATAAAATTTTAACAAATAAGTAACTATAAAAATATATAGGAGTGGCTAATTGTATATGAAACAAAAAATTTTCTGCCATTAGGAGAATATGAATTAAAACCATGAAACCACAATGACATACCACTTAACAGCTATTAAAATTTTTAAAAAATGATGAAAGAAAAGAAATTAAAAACACTTGACTATACCAAGTGTTGATGATGTTGTATAACAATCGTAACTCACAATGCTTGTGGGAACGTGAAATGGTACAATCATTTTGGAAACTTGGTTAACAGTTTCCTCAAAAGTTCAACCTAAACCCACCGTAGGATGGAGACATTTTATTCCTGGATACTAAACAAACACATATTGCTGCGTAACAAATTATGCAAAAAGTTGATGGTAGCTTTATTCATGGTAGCAAAACAGTGGGAAATGAGCCAAATGCCCATCAACAGATAAATTGATGAACAAATTGTGGTATACTCAGAAGATGGAATTTTACTCAGAAATAAAAACGACTAACTACTGACACACAGAGTAACATGGTTAACTCTCAAAATTATTGTGTTGAGTAAAAGAAACTAGACACACAAAATACATATTAAATGGTTACATTTATAGAAGTTTCTAGAAAATGCAAATTAAAGTATACCAGCAAAAAGCAGATAAATGGTTGTCTGGCAGTGGAAAGAGGGAGGAATAGACTACAAATGGGCATGAGAAGTATTTTGGTTGTAATTTTTAAAAACGTTTTGGCTACAGGGTATGTAATTACAGTTTCATGGGTATATACAACTGTGAAAATAGATCAAATTCTACATTTTAAATGGATGCTGTTTGATTTATATATACTGTTCCTCACTTAAGTTAAAGAAAAAGCCATATTTTATCTCAGCCTAACATAATGCTACTGTTCCTTGAAAAAAAATGCGTTTTCTCACATAAAAGGCAAGCACAGTCTTCTGTAAGTCATTCTAGAAGTCTCTGTGTGATATTCATTACTTCACTAGATTAATCACAATTCTGCTTAAAATCCTTAGCTTAAAAACTGAATTAGGGGCTTAACCAACACTAGAATATCTTACATAAAATACAGGTGACCCTTGAACAACATAGGTTTAAACTGTGTAGGTCCACTTATATTTTATTTTGCCTCTGCCGCCCCTGAGGTGTCAACACCAACCCGTCCTCTTCCTTCCCTTCTTCAGCCTACTCAGTGTGAAGGTAACAAGTGTGAAGCTCTTTATGATGATTCACTTCCACTTAATGAATAATAAATATATT
Organism: Homo sapiens; assembly: GCF_000001405.40. Taxonomy (NCBI): domain Eukaryota; kingdom Metazoa; phylum Chordata; class Mammalia; order Primates; family Hominidae; genus Homo; species Homo sapiens. Next base: position 97,882,614 of record NC_000011.10, read on the forward strand.
TTTCTTTATAATTGTCTTAACAACATTTTTCCCTAGCTTACTTTATTGTAAGAATACAGTATATAATATCTATAAAATGCAAAATATGTGTTAATTGACTGTTTATGTTAACAGTAAGGCTTCTGGTCAACAGTAGGCTTTGAAAAGTTAAATGTTATACAGAAATTTCGACTGCACAGGAGGTCTGGCACACCTACCCACTGTGTTGTTCAAGGGTCAATTGTAACAGGGAAAGAAGATGAGAAGGGAATTGGTTGGTACATTCAATAATAACCAAGCAAGGAAGAAAACTGCCTACCTTCCACAGTAGTCATGTCTGCATTTGGATATATGGCCATAGTTGATATTTAACTGTGTGTGTGTGTGTGTGTGTGTGTGTGTGTGTGTGTGTGTGTGTGTGTGTGTATTTTTCCTTTTACTATCCAAACCCAATATTCCCTTTGCTTTCAATTAGCTATCAGGCTGGTTGAAGTCTTTTCTTAGGGGAGATAGTCTAACTTTCATTCTGGAAAGGTCTGAAGGTCTGAGCCATTAGTAGTCCTGCTTTATCAGGCTGTTATAATATTAAAAAAATTATCTGGCAGGCCATTAGGTTGAGATAGCCCCAATACATTGGGTCCCAACATAAGCAAAACAAAACCTAACTCAGAGTGAATGTGTTTAGCCAAGAAAAACAAAACTTAAGCTTTACCAGCCAGAAACTGCCAACTAGCCTCTAACTAGGGAATTTCCTTTTTAACTAATCAAATAAATATTTTCTTTGTCTTGCTTCCTCCAACACCTTATAAAAGTTTTCCTCTCCTGCCTTTTCTGCGGAGCGCTGAACTCCCTGCAGTCTGGTCCTGCCCTATTTGTAAATGGCTGAATGTTGAAATTAACGTGTTAAGTTCTAATGTGCCTAAATTCATCTTTTAACAGTAGGATATCTTTACAATTTACCCCGGAATAGCAGAGTTTTAAGGAGGTGCTCTAAGAATCCTCTAGGCTTACACAGAATCCTCTCTGGTCTGAAGGTTAAAAATGCTGTCTTCATACTCAGGATCAATCGGCCCAGGCAATAAAGTTATTCCCTTATTTGCCCATTGCTTAAATGGTAAAATAAACTCAAAGAGGTCAGGTGGCAGCATCAGCTTACAGTGCATGGATCATTCTTCTAATAAGAATTAATACCTATAAACCAGAAAGCCCACATCGTATGATAAGCCAAAATACAAAGGAAAGAAGTGAAGAAATCACCAAAATAATTCAAATAATTCAAAGATTTGACAAAAGTGGAGGCGATAACTAAGGACTTTAAGGAGACATGCAGAAGATTGGAAGAAAACCAAGAGCATTTGGAGTTATAAAAGCCCATAAACAAGTGTTTCAAGAATAAATAAGAGTCAAATGTGTTGAATGGTGCTTAGAGATCTGTTCAGTTAGGAAGAGAGAATTGAAAATTGCATTCGACAAGAAAAAGACCCTCGGTGATTTGATGTGTGTAAAGTGAGTAAGTGGTATGAACAAATCAGACTAAAAGTAAGTTGAAAGCCTAAAGGAGGTGGGGATGTGGAGAAAGCAAGGGCTGTTTTTGTTTTTGATTTTGTTTTAGAAAACAATGTGGAAAAAAAATCAAGGGATTAGAGAAATAGTTGGAGAGGGACAGAAAGAAGGGATTTTAATGGTAGGTAAATTTTTCTTTACAGCAGATTATGATATACTAGAGAGGAAAAAACAGATGATTCGGATACAACAGAAATAAAACTCTTGCCAAATGAAATTTGACTCCAAGCCGCTACATATACAGGCATGTAGAACTTTAACTTCAGTCATCACTTATACCGCCTGTCTCCTCCTTTCCACTATTGTGAACATTGGTGATCAGATGGCCCTGCCAAAGAAACATTGTTTTGGTTCACATGGCCCCATCAAGTCCACCAGCTCCATTGCTTCCATGTAATAATTGAGGCATAAATTAGTTTGGTGTTGCTGGGAGTCTTAAGGCCTAGACTTCCTCCCCAGTCTCTCATTTTCAAGATATCCTATAGCCACTCTGCAGGAGTATTTTTAACCTGATGTGAATTTCTCTTTCTTAGTATTTATTTTGCAGTCCTTTCTCTGTTCCTCAAAATCTATCTTCCTAGGTATTCATAACACAAATCAAATCATAATCTCTTCAATGATTTCATTTATTATTTATTTATTTATTTTGAAATAAGAGTCTTGCTCTGTCACCCAGGCTGGAGTGCAGTGGTGCGATCTCGGCTCACTGCAACCTCAACCCCCTGGGTTCAAGTGATTTTCCTGCCTCAGCCTCCCAAGTAGCTGGGATTATAGGCGCCTACCAACATGCCCGGCTAATTTTTGTATTTTTAGTAGAGATGGGTTTCACCATGTTGGGCAGGCTGGTCCCGAACTCCTGACCTCAGATGATCCAACTGCCTCAGTCTCCCAAAGTGCTGGGATTACAGGCATGAGCTACCTCGCTGACCTCTTCAATTATTTTAAACATGTGTAAACAAAAGCCAGAAAAGAAAGTGCCTACAGGCACCTCTGCCTTCTGCCAAGACACAAACCTTCTCTAAGGCAAGAAAGCACAAACGAGACACTTGCCTAAATACAGTATGAAAGAGAGAAACAAAAATATTAGGTTGGTGCAAAAGTAATTGTGGTTTTTGCCATTACTTTTGCACCAACCTAATATGTAGAGGAAAACAAAAGAAACTAATTCACTCACATTTGACAGTGTGATTTGGTGAAGATATATACACACCCAAAGACACATACACACACATATATAATTTCAAGGAGCAATAGATAAAGCTTCAGGTCCACAAGCCAGGCAGCCTTCAGTCTGCCCTTGAAGTTATTTTACCTATTCCCCTTCTGTCTTTTGCAGATGCTTCTTTTTCACTAAGGAACCTATTGATTCTCTGAGCCTCTTCACAAATCATCTTCACAATAGCTCTCTTGTTAATAAACATTTGAGAAACATTCCCCGGAACCAGGGAAAGAACAGTTTGAATGGTTTAAATGGTTATTTTTATTGAGGTATATAATGTGAAAATCTAAAGAAAATTAAGTGGTATCTGATAACAACTGGTAAGATACACTAAAGAAAAAAAAATCTTTGACAAATTAAAGTCCAATCAAAAATGTTTCACCATGCATCATTTGATCGTTAAGTCCATATGCTGTACAAGGAAAGCACTGTGCTAGAAGCTGATAGTCTAGTTAGCCTTGAGCTACATAACCCTTGTTATTAAAGAATGCAGTTACTAGCTGCCCCACTTCATACCCAGACCCCCTAGTCGTGCAAATCTTCTTGCATACCAGTTTGTGGAGCTTTGATTTGCTATCTTACTCTCAAACCTTTAAAGTTGACTTTACTAAACAGGGTTATTTAATTAAATTGAACTAATAATGTAATTAAATGCTATTAATCCATACTTGCATTCTGTAGTGATTTTATTACAGAGGATTGTTTTCTAAATACAAAAATCACTAAATTTATGTAAGTAATTCAAATAAACCACCAATCTTTTTCTGCTTTGGATCTATGCTTGTATTTGATTTCAATTCTAGACCTTTACTTTCCCAATAATTAAGATAAATTTTGGGCACTTCAATTTTGCCTAATTTCTCATAGTACTGAATAAAATGGAGGATGACAGTAACGGTGGTAAACCTTCAGGTCACCCATCAACTTCTCTTCCTGTCTTAGGTGATGCTGGAGTTTAAACATTAGGTTTCTTCGTTTCTTCCATGTTGTCTTTTCTCAAAATCATAGCCTTTTTTTTCATATCTACTTTTCTTTTGCAGTAAAGCACCTATTCAGCACAGAAGAACAAAGCAACTTTCATAAGTATATCTAACAATTCCTGATTACTGATTTTGAATGCAGCTGTGTGACAGAAGATTTAGATATATACAGAAGCATTTATGCATATTAGATTGAGAACTTTTTCTTCAGAAGGAAAACAATGAGATAAAGATATGAAAAAATATATTTGTATGCCAGTGTTCCCATGGTACATCTTGTTTTAATCATGAAAATACTTCTTACTAGCAAATAATCCAGTTAGGAAGGTCAATGGCCACTACTCCCAACAAAGTACCTTTTGAATACAAAACATAATGCATGTTCACTATCTGAGTAGAGGTAGCAATAACTGGACCGCCTCGTAATTGTCATTAAAGACTATTATTGAGCAATATCTGTCACAGAAATACTCTGCTTCTCATAAATAATTTGACTATCTGGGCCAAAATCAAAAAGGTCTTAAGTCAGTGCTTAACCAACTGCATTCCCAATTACATTCTTTCACTGTTTTTACATATAATAAAGGTAGGTGGGCTATATATCTCACAGTGTCCTTGTGCTCACCTATCCCTCAGACACCACACCAAGTGTTTCCTTGCAGGCAATACATTTCATAATAAAAGTTTTAAGGAAAGGGGTGGAAGCAAGAATATTTTGGATGGTAAATTTTATTAGTTTTTAAATTTTATTAATATCAAAAACAGCCTATTTGAACATTCAGTGTAATAGTTGTCATAACTGAATCTCCTGTGATATAATTTAAATCGGAAATACAAGAGAATGTGAACTTCATAGAAAGAAGCTATGTGTGCTTCATAGCTTTCTAGTTACTATGGGGCTTTAAACCTGGACATCGGCTCTCTGAGCTCCTAGAAATTAAAAACTCGTGTTAGGAACTGAGAAGAACCCGAAGGTTTAAGGAATTCCAGATTATTTCTTTGGGCAGTTGCAAAAATTTGGCTGATTCCATTCAATTTTATAAGGGCAGAATCAGAAAAGAAAGAAAAAAGAGTAAACTAGATTAATCGATAACCTTCAAAGTTCTAGATTCTGACAAATACTAAATCTTTTAATTTAAAAAACCCTACCCTATAGACTAATATTTTACATATGAAATTTTAACATGAATTCTAGCAGACACTGTGTATGCCCTGTCCATATTCTCCTGTCCTTACCACTTCAGTGCCCGCCAACCTAACTTCTAACTCCCAGCTCTGGATTTCCTCTTGATGCTGGACACTGCTTTGCTACATTCTCAGGACACCAGTCATAATATCTCTAGTTGTTTTAAACTTTGGTCACTACAATTCAGAAAGGCAATTGTCTACAAACATCTCTGCCTTCTGCAGAAGAAATCTTCCCTAAGATAAGAAAGCAAATACTGCTTTATTTCCCTACCACCAAGAACCTTCAGCCAATGACTAAAGAAATTTGATATATATATATGTATATATATTTATATATATATGTATATATATTCTTCAGTTTCCTCATATTTCAGGTGAGATAAATCTTAGCCATGTGTTGTATGCTTTACTCCATGAAGTTTGCCAGTAGGATTAAGTTCCAGGAACCCACAGCGGTAGCTGGCTTGGCAGGACACCCTTTCCTGTCTGCCTTTACTTCCTCGTCTAATTTTTTATTCCCCTATTGGAATTTTCTGTCATCTCTCAAGTAAACCTCTTTTACTTAAATTTTTACTTCTGGAAATGCTCAAACAAAAACACTAATTTTGTTTCCTAAAAATTTATTTTGATCCAAGCAGTTTTTGCACCAATGCTACATAAGGGCAAACTTAAGTATAATTACTCCATTCCTTTCCACAACAACTAAAGGAAGGAGAAGGAGAAGAGTAGGTGAAGACTGAAAACAAAAATATTTTTTCCTCATTCTCAGACCAAATAAATTACCCTGTCTGTCAAATTCAAGCAGGTGATATGTCAGACCAAAATATCCCATTAAACTCCTTCATTTCACATGATGTGGAATATTTTAATTCTTAAACTGAGATGGTCTTAAAATTATTTTTATTTATAACCTATCAACTGATAGGAACCTCGACTGTCAATCTGAGATATCAGATAATTTACCTAGAATAGGAGTGTGTTCTTTTTATTTTATGTATGATACCTCTATACCTTTTCTGTTGAAGGGGTTCAGAACACATCACCTCAAAACATGCTGCTTTGGCATGTGGATTGTTTTGAGCTGAAGGCACTGAGATACAGCCAGATTCAGGAAGGGCTCCCTGACCTTCCCCCTTCTACCTAAAAGCAGGCCATAAAATTTCCCTGTACCAGGAAAAGGATAACATTGTTATCTCTAGACACTGTAATATGATGCCAAAATGGACTTCTGCAAACAAACCTGTTAAAATAACAATCTTCCATTAGTTCCTCCTCATCCTCATTATATTTCCTAGTCACTAGCCCACAATTTACTGCTGCTGGCCCAAGCCCCTTTATCTTATCATATCCCCACAATTTATCATTCTTTATGTAAAAAACAAAATGTAAGCTTTCAGGCATAATGGTTTCTTCTGGTCTTCACTTTCTTTCTGTTGCAGGGTGAACCCCAAAACCGGGACTCAACTCAGGAGGCTAAGTAGGTTCTTGGCTTTGCGGTAGAAATAATTCAATAAAGAGTTGACAGAGTAAAGTGAAGGCAAGTTTATTAAAATAAAGGAATAAAGGGTGGCTAATCCGTAGGTGGCTATATATATATATATATATATATATATTTTTTTTTTTTGATATGCCAAATAAGTGGTGAATTATGCATGAGTTTTTTGGGAAAGAGGTGGGGAGTTCCTAGAACCAGGTATTTTCCCCCGTCCAAACTATACAGGTTAACTTCTGGGCACTGCCATGGCATTTATAAACTGTCTTGGTGCTGATGGGGGTGTTCTTTAGCATGTTAATGCATTATAATTAGCATATAATGAGCAGTGAAAGTAACCAGAGGTAGCTTCCTTCATTATCTTGGTTTTAGTTGGTTTTGGTCAGTTTCTTTACTGTCTCCTGTCTCCTGTGGGGTCTTATAACCTGTTACTGGAAACTAACTAGTCCTGCCACATTCCTATCTCACTTCTATAGACTCTTATGTACATGTAAAAATGTTAAATCAATTTGTATCCTTTTCTCCTGTTAATCTGTTTTATGTAAGTTTAATTCTTAGTCCAGTCACTGAACATGAGGGTTGAAGAACATCTTTTCCCCTACACTGTGCTCTAGGCTCCAGGTCTTAACAAAGAGTATTTAATTAGTGTTATATGTAACTTTCTTAGGGGAACTGTATTCACATACAATTATTCTTATAATTTTAGTTCTTGGCTAAAATCTTTTTTTCTTTTTTCTTTTTTTTTTTGTTTTTTTTGTTTTTTTTTTTTGGTCATCAGCCTTGGCTCTTTACACGTTAGCCTATATTTGCAAATATGGCTTAGGAACTACTACACTGCTCTTGCTTTCTATGTGCAAACACACATACACACACACTTTACACAAATCCACACAAAAATATGTTAACTTTTATAAACAGCCTAAGCTATTGATGCTCTTTATTCTGCACAAAAGACAATGGCACTGCGTTTTTACCTGTGGAGGCATCTCACTTCTGGGCTGCACTTTATACCACATTCATTCAGAAACAGAAAGCAATCATGGTTAAAAGCTCAAGCTCAATGTTGAGATAAAACTAGTTCTCATCTTGGTTCTGTCTCGTATTAGGTGTGTATCTAAGGCAAATTACTTTATATGTTTGTTCTTAGGTTCCTTCATCAGCAAAACAAAGGTATTCATTTTGGTGCAACAAGAATTAAATTAAACACTGCTGTATAACACTTAGCACAGTGGCCGGGTTTAGCAGTATCCAATAAGGGTGAGTTGTCAGTAATAATAATAATGGTAATAAAATGATAATGATAAGCATTTCCTACTTCAGAGTTAAAGCAGATGTGATGACCAAATGCATCTGCTTCACTGTTAGAATCCCAAGATGGCAAAAAAATACAATACTTTTTCAAAATCTTTATTTAATATTGAGATACACAATAATCTGCAAGAAGAAAAAAAAATCTAATGTTTAAAATATTTACTTTCCCTGGCCTCATCTATATGAATAGGTTGTATAGTAATTAATTCAGCCAAGCTTTCCATTAGCTTCTATGAAGATCCCAAATAAAGCAGTTTTCCTCAAGTTTGAATGGCCTTGAATACGTTTACTAATTTAAGGATGAGCAGCAAATGCTCCAAACAATAGACTCTTTTTCATTATTTTGATAACAAAGCCCATCTACAAAAGCCTCCTACAAAAGCCTCCTTCTTCTTCTTCAGCAAACATCAACACTGGAAAGCATTTTTTAATATTAATTTGATGGTTTCTAGACACAGTGAGCACAGAAAATAAAAATCATTTTAATTATTTCTACCCTCAATGCCCAAACACAATAAAGATGTAGCGGCAGAGGGAATCAAGCACCAGAAAAATGATTACGTGAAGACAACAATGACTTTTATTTGCTTATTCCCAAATCATCTGTATTGAGCAAGAAACTCAATAGCACAAAGCATTCAGCAGAAACTTTACAAAAGACTCGTGTACAGGGGATTGTTGGCCTCATTAATAAGTGACAACAGACAAACATTTATGTTGTAGCTACCTTTCTGAGACTTACCTTGTTCTCAAGATATGTGTGTTGAATGATTTGTACTATATGAATTTACTCATATGTCAAGGTACTCAACGTGTAGTCCATTATGTTTATAGTAAACCAGCAGTGCTGATCGCTTAAACATTTGCCAGCATTCTTTAAAACTTAAGCTCTTCTAATATTTTGGTTTTCAATGATATGTGAATTCAGTGTCTCCTACTGCCCCACCCTGTAAAGGGAGAAAAGAACATGTTCATTTAAGTATACTACATGAACGAGGAAGTATAGTGTGGAATTTTGAGTTACAAAAGTGATAAATCGGTTAAATTATTGTTTGATGTCAAGAAGAGTATATATTATTCAGCTTATTTGCATGGGTTTCTTTACTCTTGAAAAATAAAAGTTGTCATTTAATTTATAATTTATGGACAAAGATATCCATGTCAGTTGTTCCAACTTCTTCATCTTACTCTTCACTGTTTTCTCCCACTGTTCCACTGAAACTTCTTGTAATAATACTACCAATTGATACCAATAAATAAGAAACCAATGCCTGATTTTAATTATAGTAGGAAAATTTCCATGTTTTGTTTTGTTTTAGACGGAGTCTCGCTCTGTTGCCAGCCTGGGGTGCAGCGGCACAATCTCGGCTCACTGCAACCTCCACGTCCAAGGTACAAGTGATTCTCCTGCCTCAGCCTCCCAAGTAGCTGGGACTACAGGCATGCGCCACCACACCCAGCTAATTTTTGTATTTTCAGTAGAGATGGGGTTTCACCATGTTGGCCAGGATGGTCTCGATCTCTTGACCTTGTGATCCACCTCCCTCGGCCTCCCAAAGTGCTGGGATTACAGGCATGAGCCACCACACCCGGCCAGAAAATTTCAGTTTTTAAATTTGACCTCCATGCAGCATACAGTATTAACTCATCAGCCATTTTTTTCTTGCGATTATCTTGTACCTGTGTTTGTGATCTGGTTTTCTTCACATTTTCTTTACCTTTACACTATGTCATGTTTATTTCTGGTCTTGTCTTCTATTGTCCAGTTAAATCAATGGATCACAAGCTTTACTCTACCTTGACTCACCAGAGATGCCCCTTAAAAACAAAACAAAACAAAAAAACAGCAGATTCCTGAGCCCTGTCACTAAAATAGATCAAAGAGATGGCACGTTAACCTGAGTCTTCATAAAATAGCTTAGATGATTCTGATGCATATGGTCCTTGGACTATATTGCTTCCATTGTTAAGATTATCTACCATCTAACAGTTCTATTATTTTACTTAACTGTATTGCCTAGTATCTGCTCCCAGATACTTACCATATTTTTGTGCCTCTCAGTTCTACTATATCCACACAAGACCTGTTTTCTAAATTTCAGACTCAGATTTCCTACTCTTAATAGACATCTTCATGTGACTACCCCACAGGTACCTCAACTAAACATGTCCAAAAGTGAGCACATCTTTTATTTAGTTCTCAAATTTACTTATCTTTCTGTTACACTCACTTTCTATTGGCTAAACCATCATTCATTAGTCATTTGAGCCAAAATTCTTGACAATAATACCAGCCTCTTTGGTGTCTTTTCAACCTTCATGTTCCACCATCTTCAATACTCACTAGTTACCTAGTCATTTATAAAAGTCCTTATTCAGAGAAAGAAGAAAAAATCAAAACAAAATTCCATAATGTCCCATCTTATCTCAACACTGGATTAAAGTTCTGAATTTATTTTTATTTGAAAGATGCAGTTTGTGGGAAAGTTTGTTCCATTCATTCAACCATTAGACTGTTCTATTATTCATCCTTAAACCAAATCAATATTTTAATTAACAGAGTGGTTTCTGAAGTTCTTAAAATGATAGTATTTATTTTTTGATATTCTTTAGTCAGGTGAAATAATGTCTAAGGAAGGCTTAATTATGTCTCTTTCTTTGGAAGAAAAAAGAGAAGAAAGTATTTTTGGCATTGTTATTTTATTAGAGGAAAGTTTTTAAAATAATTGATTTATATTCATAGAAATAATTATTTGTCTAACTAATTTTCCTTACACCTGCAAATGTAAAATTATTTCCTGTAATGTGCACAAATATAATTTTTCTGGGCTAATATTTTAATTTTTTCATGAAATGTATTAGAAATTTGAAGAAACATGAAATATTTTCTCTACTTTTCAGAGAATCTATTATATGACCAGGTGCATTAAAAACGCAGTTAATTTTTACAATAAATATTTAACAACTGATACGTTAAATGATAAATCTTTTCTACATCTCAATACCTGAATTGTAATGGTGCAGAAACATTCAGTATAGAAATAATCACATAGACCATATCTAATATTCTTACTAATTTTTCTGTCAATGCTGCCAGAAAATTGCTTTCTACTCCTTTTTTCTGAAGTACTGATAATTTCCTGATGTTACGTTAAACAATGGCTTACAACGAAAATTATGTATTTAGGAGTAATTAAAAAAAATTTCTTTATAAAGTGTATATATTTTTTTCATTTGAAAATGTATAATCATGGCCAAGGGCATGTATCTTTTATATGCAACTATATATTTTATGCCTTTATCAAGTATATAATTTATGAAAGCATTTTCTAATGCTTATTAAAATTACCTTATACGTTATCCCAGTGCCAAGAAAAATAAAATGATAATGGGATCATTGCAGTGTAAATGGAGTAGCTGCCATGCCATCTGCTGCACATGTCCAGAATGAGTATAAAACTGGCCTGGTGCCACCCTCTTGGGTCCCAAGGCTACGTCCACTTACTTGCCAGAAAAAAAGAATTGATTTATGTTAGATATGGTTTTAATTTTGCTGCTATTAGGAACTTGTATTAACCATTACTATATTTCATTATCTGAACTATTTCATTTTAGTTTGATTTGGGGATGAAATGAAAATAAATATTTATATCTCAGTTTTAAGGCCACCTTTAAGGCACTAAACAGAACTGCATGTTTGCCTTGAATAAAAAAAACATTTTTGGTCACACTCTTATTATCTACAAATATTAAATTTGGTCATTTCAACTGGCATTTTTTCCTATGTCCTTTGTTGATGTTGTCACCACTTCTTTTCCAGTTACAAACATGGCCCTTGTTTTTAGTACTGATATGCTTACGACCTAACATTAGCCTTAACCAGTATCTTTGCCTGACGAACTAAGTCTGCACTTACTCCATACTCACTTCGTAGAACAACACTAATTTCTGACATTTTTTTGTTGTGCGTATCTCAAACTGAAGATCTGCAGATACATTCTGCAGGTCTCATAAAATATTATGTACATGTGTGTATAATTTTGCGATTTTATTCAAATATATTTTTTAAAGTTTGTTTTTAATTGGCATATTACAATTGTACATATTAATCGCGTATAATGTGATGTTTCCATACATTTTTACGTTATGTAAAAAATCAGATTAAAAAAATTACACACTATAGTTATTAGATTTCAGTGGCAGCATTTGCCTTTGTGTATATAATTATATAATTCCAACATCAACAAATGAAACCAAATGATGTTTGGCACAATGTATCAATAAATGATTCATATTAGTTTGAATCTAGAAAAAAAAGCGGAAAACAAATATAATGTGGCACACGGTAATATAGTTATGTTGAATTCAAAAGAATGTTCTAAGTATCAGTGTTTCAGCTGTGATCCTTCATGCTAGATAAAAATCTCAATTCAAAAACTAAGAAAACCAAATTAAAAAAACCTATAAAAAATGCAAATTCTTCCTTTTAATACATCCAGTATTGGTGATATAATTTCAGTAAAACAAACATTATCATTTGTCAAAGTCGAATATTTTCAATTTGTTTTTTTCTCACTTTTTAATGGTTTATTCATTGAGTAAAATGATATGTTACAATAAATTATGCAACATCAGCCATCATGTTTAACATTCAGCTGGTTTTAATAGCTTCTCTCAGGAGTTATTTTATCTGATTATATTTATAAGGTAAAATCTTATCACATTTCTCATATATACACACTGTGCCAGCGGATTCACACTACTGATATATGAATAAAATCAGCTTGGGATGTGCACTGGAGACAAATCAGTGAACACCTGTCAAAGATTATTTTAATAAAGGATGGTAAAAGCATTTGTAAAATGCATAGAATCTTTTTCCATAAATAGATTGATATCTAAACATCTGTTGCATAAATTATGCTTCCAAAGTTTACAGTGGAACCCATGTTGGCTTATTTACTTTATTATTGCAGACTGTCCTTTAACGTAAAATGCACACCATTCATTTCCCTTACAACTGGGGTTAGGTGGAAGTCTCACAGAGATGGTGTGTGCACTGTGGTTGGCCTGAAACAGTTAAATCAGCTTGTAAAGACACTTCAGTGATAACAAGGTTTTAAAACATACTTCATGGAATCGGCTTCATGTATCATAGCATCTCATACCTGTGATAGAACAAGCTTTTAGTTTTTCCTTTGTTTTCTTTACATTCTTTATTCTCAGTGAAACAGGTTCACGGTATTATTTCTTTTTTTTCTTTTTCTTTGATTTTTGTTTCTCTCAGAGTTTTGAAGTTGCTGACTGATCCACAGAATAGTTTTGTACCATAGGTTGAAATTTGACCTCAAATATTACAATCTAGCAATATCTGCCTGGTCAGAGTGGGCCAGCCCTTGCCAGCGTGTGTGCACTTCTACTATTTCAGTCTATTCTTTGGCACCTGATAAGTGTGCTGAAAGAGAGAAACCCAGAGACTTGTTGCTAAGGATTTCACAACTAATGTTTGTTCGCAAGCATGTGTGTTTACAACCCTGTATTTTGATTTTCTTTTATTCTAGAATAGTTTCTTTCTTCCTCCACTATTTGCAATCTGAGTTAAAAAGCTAACTTGAGCATATAAGGTTATTAGTTAATAAAATTATAGTGGAAAAATCTAATAACTTGGGTACTTATGGTCTTTATTTTTTAAAAAATCTTTTAAAATTCATTTTCTTGATTTCTTGATTTTATGCTGGATTACAGCTGTAACCATAAGACATTTATGACTAGTTTAGCAGCTGAGGAAAATGTTCATATTCTAAAGCATACCTTTAGTAAATCTGATTTAGAAACCACTAAAATTCGATTAATGGAATAACTAAATTCCCAAAGTGTCCCTCAGTTATGATGAAGTATTTAAATGAAAATGAAAATATGCAAATAGGAGGTGTAAGTGGCATTTGATAATATCTCCTATGTGCCAAGGCTAAGAAGCATGCTTTATAATTGTGCTACTGTGGTATAATTAAAAATATCTATGTGGTCTTCATCCCTGGTTCCTGACTCAGAGTTCCTAAAACCCTTGAGATCTCCTGAGAGACAGCAGTGCCAGGAGCATCTTTTGTTAACATTTGGTTTTTGCCTTCAGTTCCTGACACAGACCTCCAATCCTTTGGAATTCTGTAAGTGATAAGAACATATTTTGTTCTAAAAAGGAGACTCTTGTAAGGCCCCTATGTTGGCTTCCGGATAAAGGCTGGTCACCAGAAAGACCAAACCTTAATTAGAAGCTGGGAACTTTCAGCCCTTCCCTGCAACCTCTTGGCAAGGCTCACCCCCCACTCAGGCATTAACTCTCCTCGCACCCACTCCCGGCTTAACCTCTAGGAAGGAGAGAGGTGCTATAGACTGAGTTAATAATCTATCATTCCTGTATGATGAAACCTCCACAAAAACTTAAATGACTGAGAGTGCTTCTGGTCTGGTGAATGTGTCTACATGCCAGGAGGATAGCACACACCAACTCCATGGGACCCTTCTGAACCTTGCACTATGTATCTCTTCATATGAATGTTCATTTGTGTCTTTCATGTTGTCATTTATAATAAATCAGTCATAGTAAGTAAGCTGTTTTTCTGAGTTCTGACAGCTGTTCTTGCAAATTATCATACCTGAAGGTAGGGTTGTGGAAACTCCCAACTTTGCAGCCAAGTAGGACAAAAATATGGGTATTCTGATACTTGCAATTGACATCTAAAATAGGGGCAGTCTTGTGGGAATGAGCCCTTGGTTTGTGGGGTCTACATGAACACCAGGTAGTTAGTGCCAAAATTGAACTAAATTGTAGCATACCCATTTGGAGTATAGGAAGTCAAATAACTGGTTGAGGTGTGGAACAAACAACAACAAAACACAAATTTGGTATCATAACTGTTGAGAGTAGAATTAAATCATAATAATACAGGATTTCTCTCCAGTGTCAGCAAATGTAATAACACTCAAAATTTCAAAGTTAGAGTCTGGCAAAATCACTTCCCAAAGAGACCACATAGGAACTTCAGGTGGGAAACTGGCTACCTTCAAAAGGCCTAAAATGTGATTGGCCTCTCTCCCCAGAAAGAGAGAGCGTATTAAATTGGTTGTTCGCCATCTCAGATTAACAATGTTAATACGGGAAAATAGGAAAGTATAAGGGCTAGATTAATAAAAGCCCACAGTTTCGGACATTGCATAAGAAGAAGTAAACAAATCCTTAGGAGAGGGTCCATTCTGACTTAACAAGTGTATTTTCTCCTTTACATAACCTCCTTTACACATTGTTCTTACGTACAGACTCAGAAAGAAGTTAGACTCAAATACATGTCCTTTAAATTTATAGACATCAAGTCTATCCATTATTCTTAAGCCAAACTTAAAGTCAGGAAGGCCACATCTTCATCTAGAGGGAGAAAGCAGAGTTAATGCCTGAGAATCTCCATACATTACTGCTATCCCAGCTTGCCAAGGTAAGGCTCTTATCCTACAGTCCACCCCTGAACTGATTTAACATCCTCTATCACAAAGGTCTGAGGATTACAATAAAAAAAAAATCTGTTTCCCCATAACGACAAAATTAAAACCAGTGTAAAAGTTATTATCAGCAGTGAAAGAGATTCAATTAACATATTAAATGGTAAAAGAAAGCTTATTGGCTTAAGAACTGAAATCCATTATTTTGCCATATACCAGAAATATATCTAAAAGAGAATTAAAGTATAATAAGAAATGCTTAGATATGACTAATATAAATGACAATGACAGGCCGGGCACGGTGGCTCACGCCTGTAATCCTAGCACTTTGGGAGGCCAAGGCAGGCAGATCATGAGGTCAGGAGATCGAGACCATCCTGGCTAACATGGTGAAACCCCGTCTCTACTAAAAATACAAAAAATTAGCCAGGCGTGGTGGCAGGCGCCTGTAGTCCCAGCTACTCTGGAGGCTGAGGCAGGAGAATGGCGTGAACCCGGGAGGCGGAGCTTGCAGTGAGCCGAGATCACGCCACTGCACTCCAGCCTAGGTGACAGAGCAAGACTCCATCTCAAAAAAGAAAAAAAAAATAGGCCAGGCACATAAACTTTGTCAGAGTAATATTAAACTAGAAACTTCAGGATTTTGTAGAAAACTCAGTACAAAGCCTATCCAAAATTAATATATTTGGAAAGTCTGAAAAGAAGTGAGACAAAGACTCAGAAAGACTATTTGAAACATAAAATCTCTTTTCCAGTCTGGCATGTAAGAAATTTAGAAGCCAACACTCCACCTTAAAACATATAAAATGCCAACCAAAACTGAAAAATGAAGAACTCTTTTTAGATCTGGGAAAGAAGAGGTAACAGGGCAAACTACTGCCCCCAAAACTGGAAGAGACAGAGAGATGGTAAGTCATAACTTACTGGAGGAGAAGCCCAGGAGCAGAAACTTCCATGCAAACCAGTTCAGGGTAGGAAAACCTAAATTGTAATGGATGAAGGCTGGATGCCAGTGATGGGATTAAAGGAGATAAAAGAAAGTAAAAGGAGTAATACTTGAAACAATCAATCTCTCCCAAATTATTGTTAGATGCAGAATTACAGATCCAGGGAAGTAAGAGAATGTCAAGCATGATGAATGCCAAAAAATCAATGTCTTGGTATATCACACACAAACTTCAGAAAACCAGAGAAAAAGAGAAAAAATATTGAAAGAAACTGGGTCGGGGAGCAAAACAGCTAATCCATAGAGGAGAAAAGTGAGAGTTATATCTGATTTCTCCTCAGAAACCATGCAAGGAAGAAGACAGTGAATAACATATTTAAAGTGTTGAGACTAAAAAAGACCAACAACATAGAATATCCAATCCTGTAGAATTATCTCCCAAAATAAGAGGATGTGTATGTATTTTCAGTAGAACATTTTCAGAAATAACATAAGTAATGATTTTTATTGAGTAGCTGACTATATTTCATTTTATGTTAAGCTAGAAATATACCTATGATTGTAAGGTGATGTACTCTGCTTATTAAAGTTCCTGGATATCCACTTCATTTTTTAATTTTTTAATACAATAATTTTTAATTTTATTTAAAAGACAAAAAGTAAAATTTTCATTGAAACATTATCAATCCACAAACAGAATACCCAGATATTCCCAATAAACATAAAATTCAGTTATCACTGATGTTTTACCAACTTTAGCCATTTGTAAGAACATAGCTTTTACATTTTTTTAATTTTAAAATTTTATTTTATTTTAAGTTCCACGATCAGCTTTATCGAGATGTAGCTGACATAAGAAATGTAGGGAATAATATTGTGTCTTGGGGCATTTCATATGATGATTACATTATATTGGCATTATTGGTCATCCAATCAACAAAAATAAATATTATGCAAAATAAGACACAAATTTAATAAATACTTATAAAGCCAAAATAATGTAGAGGAGAAATAAAACCATTTTCAAACAAAAATTGGGGCCATTTAGAGTGAGTAGACCAGTCTTGGAAGACATATTAAAATAAATTCTTCAGAGAGAACCAACATATTAAAATAAATTCTTCAGAGAGAACCAAAACACATAGGCCATTGAACACATCTTAGAATCCCAAAATCCATAACATGTCTAAACCAAACTGGATATGGAGCAATAGGAACTCCCACTAATTGCTGCTAGGCACGCATAATGGTATAGCCATATCGGAAGACAATTTGGCAGTTCCCTTCAAAACGTCACATTGTCTTACCATGTGATCTAGCAATTGCCTTCACTGGTATTTACCCAAATGAACTGAAAACTTATATCCATGTAAAAGTCTGGCTATTAGTTGACCGGGTAGGGTGGCTCATGCCTGTAATCCCAGCACTTTGGGAGGCCGAGGCGGGCAGATCACGAGGTCAGGAGATTGAGACTATCCTGGCTAACACGGTGAAACCCTGTCTCTACTAAAAATACAAAAAAATTAGCCGGGCGTGGTGGCAGGCGCCTGTAGTCCCAGCTACTAGGGAGGCTGAGGCAGGAGAATGGTGTGAACCTGGTAGGCGGAGCTTTCAGTGAGCCGAGATGGCGCCACTGCACTCCAGTCTGGGGGACAGAGCGAGACTCCATCTCAAAAAAAAAAAAAAAGAAAAGAAAAAAGAAAAAAGAAAAAAAAAAGTCCGGCTATGAATTTATAGCAGCTTTATTATTAATTGTCAAAACTCGGAAGCAGCCAAGATGAATAGATATATAAAATGTGGTAGTCTAATTAGTGCTAAAAAGAAATGACCTACCAAGCCATGAAAAGACATGGTGAAAACATAAATGCATATCACTAAATGAAAAAAGCCAATCTAAACAGGCTAATAATGTATTACTGCATATGACATTCTGAAAAAGGCAAAACTATGAAAGCAGTGAAAAGATCCATGGTTACTAGAGATTGGGTGTGTAGAAACCGATGATTAGGCAAAGCACAGAAGATTTTTAGGGCAGTGAGGCTCTTCTGTATGATACAACTATTGTAGATACATGTCCTTATACATTTGTCCTAACTCATAGTATGTACACCACCAAGAGTAAACCCTAGTGTGAACTATGGACTTTGGGTGATAATGATATGTTAATGTAGGTTCATCAATCATAACAAATATTCCACTATAATGCAGAATGTTAATAGGGAGGCTGGGTATGTGTGGGGGCAGGGAATATATAGGAACCCTCTGTACTTGCTGCCTAATTTTGCTATGAACCTAAATCTGCTGTAAAATTAAAGTTTATTAATTGAACAAAATAATAGCGAATAATTTCCCAAACTTATAATAAATTTCAACCAAAGGCACTATAAATCCAGCAAACTCCAAGGCAAAGTAAAATCATATCTAGGTAAACCTTAGCAAACTGTTTGTATAAAAAAAGAGAGAGAGAAAAAAAATTCTTAAAAGCAGTGTAAGTCGTGACACAATACTCTTGGGGGCATAAAGATTTTTAAACGGCTGGTTTTTACCAAAAATCAGAGGACAGAATATTTTTCATCAAACCAAAAAATTTTTTAAAAATTGAAAATTAACTTAAGGCATTTAGAAATGCACAAAATATAAAATAATTGATCATTGACAAACCTGCACTAGATATGCTAAAGGAAGTTCTTCAGGCTGAGGGTAAAGAATTAGAAATTGGGAACAATAGAAATGAAGAAAGAACATTGGAAATCATAAATAAGGGAGCAAACATAAAAGACTATTTTGCTTTGTTTCTAAATTTACTTAAGAGACACATTAATTACTAAAACAAAAAAAATTGTTGGATTTATAAATATATATATAGAGAGAAGTAAAATATACAACAATACAGTGGAGAAAGTGGAAAGTGGAAATATACTGTCATAACTTTCTGACACTATACTTGAAAAAGTATGATATTATTTCACAGCAAACTGTATTAAGTTAATAACGCATATGTAAATTCTAGAGAAAATCTTAAAAAAAAAAAAAACAGGCATAGGTCAATAACAAAGATAGAATGAAAAGCCGAAAAAAAAATTCTAAATTCTATGAAGGCAGGAAAAAGTATTTTAAAAAGTTAAGAAATATAGAATAAACAATAGATTCACACATTTAAACTCAATCACATCAACACCTCCTTTCTCCTCTTCCTTTGTCTTTCTCTCCCCCTATTCTTTCCTACTCCTTTATTTTCTTCTTATCTTCCTGGCATTCTCTTATTTGCTCATCTCGCTTTCTTTCTAACTAGCTTCGTTTTCTTTACCAACTAAAGAAAATAAATTAAGAAAAAGGAAAGAAAATAGCTTCATTTTACCAACTAAAAAAACTTGATACCCTACTGAACTCAAGATTTCTTTACCAACTAAAGAAAATGAAGCTATTTTCTTTTCTTTTTTTAAATTTATTTTCTTTCCTTTTTCTTTTTTTGTGTTATTTTCTTAAATACTCCTGTCATAAGTATTTGTGCTTACCCTTCATCTCACTATCTTTATCTGGCATTATAATAAATGCACATTTAATAATTCTTCTCTATGTTCTGTCATTATGCTAGGTGCTAGAGATATAATAGTAGATGATAGTTTTTAAATGAACATGTAGGAAGGACACTTAGCCAAATCTTAGCGAATCATTAAAGCTTTCCAGGAAACTAACATATAATATAACCTGAAAATAAAAAGGTACACAGGTTGGAAGACATCCTTAAATGGAGCTAGAGTGGTAAACAGGGCCAGAATTTGAATCACTTACATTTTAACTCATGTAAAGAAATTTGAAATGAAATCAAATATATATTTAGTAAAGTATACTTGAGAGGGCATTGTGATTGATTTGGTTTGGGGTCTTGAGTTCAGTAGGGTATCAAGTTTCAGGGCTTGAACAACCTGGTGAGGCCTAATATCACTCCTCCACCTAACAGACAGGAAAGAAGAGAACAAGTTAGGAAAGTTAATATATGCGTTTCCATTATTGAACGTTGAGTGTCAGCGTCTATAGAATAATCCAGCAGAGAGGTGTATAGACCATTGTGTGTATCTAAGTCTAAAACTCAAAGGAGCTTTTAAGCTAAAAACTAATTTGGAAAATTTTAACAGATTGATGATTATGGAAATGAATGAAATCACCTAAAGTGGATTTCTAAACATTTTGAAAGTCACGGATTCTTCAGAGAAGATAATGAAACTTGGCAACATTCCAGAATACACATAAAATTTGCCTATCATTTCTGGGAATTCAAGATTATTCTAGAAATTGTCTATAGTCTCTAGTCTATGAATCTCTAATATATTCTGAGAAAAAGTAAGTGGTGTAGGTAGTATGCTTAAGAAAGAAAATTTTGAAACAAAACATTTCACAATTATCTACATCTTGCTAACTTCAGAATTGATGTTGGCAGAAAATCAGTGACTAGTATTTTTATTATAGTGAGGATTAATTGTTGAATTATAATCTATATACGGTAGAAATTGGGATTCGGGCAGGTCACTTTTCGGGGATTCTTGCAGTCACTTAAAGTTGACTGCAAGCCAACTTCATAAGTTTCTTGGGAATATTGGCTGCTTTTTCTTTAAACAATTCTTGATATTTTTAGGTTTAAAATGTCACATAATCAACTGCAATATAACTTAGAAAGATGAAGTGATTTTGATTTATGTATCTCCTACTATGCAATATCTTGATTGCTCATGAATGAAGTAAACATTAATTTACATTGGCATTTTAGTTACAAAATAAATCACATTCACCATTTTTGTTCCAAACCTCAGTGAGAGACCTAAATACTATGTATTTCTCATATAATATTTAGTCTATGATTATATTTCTTCCTATGTCTCTGACTTGCTTTAAAATGTTGTTTGAAAATAAATCAAATAAAACAAACCTAATAGAACAAATTTACAAAATATGTAGCATTCAATTCAAGAAATATATTAAACTTTGTCAGAGTAATATTAAACTAGACCCTTTAGGATTTCATAGAAAACTCAGTACAAAGTCTATCAAAAATTAAAATGTCCTTCCATAAAACTTTCAGAAAATAGCATGTTCATAGTCTGGTTTGAATATGAATAAATACATATGGATTTATTCAAATCATGCTCTTTGACTACCTGATAAATATCATGTGATAGTCTGGACAGGAGCTAGATTATAAATATTTTAAGTTTTGCAGGCCATACAACCTGTGATGCCACTACCCTGCTATTGTAGTGCAAAAGTGACCGTAGGTATATATAAGCAATAAATTGTTTTCTAAGGAAACTAACAAGTGGCTGGCTGGATTTGACCTATGGGGCCTTCTCTAATAGACACAAGATAAACTGGACCGAGTGACTATCCCCAAGAAGATTACATCATTTAAAATATAATATGTACGAGAATTATATTAGAACAAAGATGGAAATAAGAGCAATGATAGAAAAATATTACTGTGAAAACAGAAACATAAGAGATGATTTTAAAAAATTAATACATTAGTGGAAGATTTTATCAGGGATCTTTAGCATATAAAACAGACCTTAAAGGTGAATGGTAATAATGGTAATAGTTACACTATGTTTTATAGTTAAAAAATATTTTCATTCATGTTGTCTAATTTGGGAAGAGAGATATATTGGTAGGTAGTATATTTGAAGCTGAGCAATCAATTTAAACAAAGCTAAAAGACCAGAAACTGCAAGGCATATTTGAGATAAATGAATTGTTTGATTTGACAAAACTACAGGGCTAAGGGTTTTGGCTGAAAAAAAAGAGATTAGAGTCGGAAATGCAGGAAATGTACAGAATTCATATATTAGGTTTTAGGCAATGGAGAGGCATTAACTGTGCTTGAGCAGCATAGTGATGAATCAGAGCTTTGCATGAAAGGAAATTCATACAATAATTTTCTATAGGATTGTAAGGGAGATACAATAGAGGTGGAATAATAAATTAAAATAGAATTGTAGGAAATTATTTATGGGACGAATTAATGTCCCGAAATAGGGAAGTGGTAAAGAAAATGAAAAAACGAAAGTGTTTGTGGCAGCATGCATCAGGAGCATAATAAACTGACATAGCCATTGTTTTTGATTTCTCCCATTTTTCAGGAAAGAATAAGTCTATTTCCTTAATACGAGCTTCCATCTCAATTCCTATAATTCTACGGGAGCAAACAATCTGAATTCTTTCTAAACATCAACACTTTCCCGCTCCCCTTGGTGCTAAACTTTGATCCAACCTGAGAAATAGAAGTCCTTCCCCTCAAAAAAGCCAAACTGGGGTTGATGGGGGTGGCCTCCTCTTACTCTTACATAGATGTAATAATAATGATAATAGTAACAATAAATAATGATACTACTTTAAACTGAACACTTATGTAGGAAATGCTCTTCAAGTGATTTGTAAATATTAAGTCATTTGGGTCTAAGCTGTTGGCAAAAATGAGAAGAAATGAAACACAGTTGGGGAGTCAGTTTCTTGGTGATATTAAAACCACAATCTTGTTTCATGTAGCTCTTTCTTTAGATTCTATGAATTCCCCAAATATCCTTCTCAGATATATGAGCCAACAAATTCCAGTTTTTTTTTCCTTAAGCCAATCTGAAGTAGTTTCCTAATATTACAAATAAAATTGTACCAACAAAAACAATTCTAGACTGATTAAACATAAAAACAAGAAAAAAAGAGAAAAAATAGACAATGATTCTGTAGTTTGGAGTCATGTTTACTGCAAAAGTGGATTCACAGAGAAAAGAGAAATAATGAGGGATCTATGGTAGGAGGTGGTAATTTCAGAGTTGAAGGGCCTATAAAATATTTGTAGTATATTTGGGAATTATTTAATGAATAAAAAGAAAGCCTGAAAGGTCTATCAGGGCTGGTGTCATAGATGTGAGACCTGTGCAGGCATTTAGCATCCCAAAATCAGACTACATACTTATTTTAATGATTTGCTGTAATTCTATATTTGAACTTGTCTCTTGCCAGTGGGACCACAGAGCATATGTGTGAACAGAAGGGATATGTGCAATATGCGTATCTGCCATTCTTTGCTCCCCCATTTGCATATAACATTCACTGTATAACATATGCACATCAGGTTCCAGGTGTGTCATTACATATGGGAGTTCAATGAATCTCAAAGCAAGTGCATAGTAAGTATGTTACATCCATGACTGAGAAAGCAAGAGCACTGACAAATCCAAGAGGACACACTTTCTGTCTGAACTAAAGCCTAGTTTGAACATAGGAAGAAGACAATGGCATTCTAAGTAAGATAAGGGATCTAGGAACTCTCATATAATTTCCTACTCATGTTGCTTCCCTGTATTGGCTAATCACTCATATTGAAAATGATGACATAGAAGGACAAGGAAAGATAAAGTAATTCATTTTTAAAAATTCCTTCTGTACTCATTAGTAAGCCAAAGGTAGATAGTGTTGGTAAAATGTGCATGTATTGAAAAGTAAAAGAAAAATAGTTGAGTTAGTTTTGTGCAGTATTTCCACCATTTTGGCAAGAACAAAATACAAATGCATGAATAAACTATGGAATATGAATTGTGTCATTTTGGTGATTCTGCATGTTACTTAATGCTCTTATATTTGCATTTAACCTGGCATTATATAATATCAACATGAATGGCAAAATTCATATTAATAATTAATATTTTACATTTTTATTTAAAACAACATTGAACACAAATTAAAAACACCATCACAAGTTGAGGGAGAGACCATGGAATGATAAAAAAAAGGCTTTATATTTTACCTTTAATGGAATTTTTTCCTGTTTTTTGAACAAAACTTCCTGCACTTTTATTTTTCAGTGGGTCCTGCAAATTACGTAGTTCACCCTGAAATCCACACTAAAAATTATAAAACAGGTATATCTATCCTTCTTCCATCTGCTAGTGAAACTTAGCTGCCCAGGCCAAGATGGATTTGAAGGGGTCAGGGCTGGGGAATGAAGTGACGTTAACAATGTGATAATAAGCAATGAAATAAAGTGTGCATGCAAATGTGAGTGACCAGGATGCCAAGATCAGTGAACCAATTAAAGGAAACCATAGGAATATTGCCCAGAGTTTTAAATAAACCATATTCTTCATACCTTAAAGGTATTTCCATGCCTATAAGAAAACAACTTTGAAGGAACATATCTTCTTTTCTTTTCATCCATTATACTTTATCCTCCATGAGAGAAGTGATTTATCAGATATTGAGAATCTATCATCCACAATACCACTTCTCTATTGAGTGTAGCAAAGATGATAAATGTTGCTGTTATTGCTTTGCCTTTTTTCCTCTGGTGATAGAAATCATTCTTCTTTCTTCTGAATAGGAGATTACCAGAGTAGGCTCTGTTTCTGCCATTGAGAAGTCTACAAATATGAGCGCCTAAATTCACAACAGAAACCATGACTGTGGCAATAGATCCCAAGTTTGTTCTGCAGTACAGCATTACTCTCGACAAAAAAGGCTGATATTTTAACCCCTTTTTGAAGGTTTTGTTTATTCTTCACTGGTTTAAACTCAGGGAAAATAGTGGGATTAATTATTTCATATGGGAAAATGATTTCTCTTAAACTCTTTAAACACAGATGTCAGAAGGTAAGGCGTGGGTCAAAGGGTTATAAAAGTGGGGCAGAGTTGTTAGGGAAAATATACACGTGTTGCCTTCTGAGCTGGTTTTTAGGTACTCACTTCAGCTCTGTTTTTTTCTTTCATAATTTTATGGTGATTTTGTTGGTTGTGTTGAGGGTCAGTACACAGACATTTGAATTTGTACATGATTTTGAACAAATCACGTACAAAGAGGCATATTGCGATTCTTTTCTAAGATGTTATTCCAATGACTTTCCAGCTGAATATTTGGAGGCAATTTTTCTTAAGAGGAAATGTTGATAAGCTGTCACATAAGTCCCTCTAATTTATAATTTAACGTAAGATATACTACTTAATCAAAATTTCAGTCTTTCACAGCACGTTAACAATGTTATCGGGAAAACTGGACTATGACTCTTAAAGGAGTTAGAGAGTCTATACAATTCTGACAGGGAGAGCCAAGATCAAGGAGTGGATTTCTTCAGGAAACAATTAGTACTAAACAACATGGGAATAGAAGTAATTTAAAATGTTCAAGACATATTAAATGTGCGACTGTGGCTCCAAATTGCCATTTAGTATGCTTGTATTATAGGATATAGAAACTACTGCACCCCATCTTTGCAAAGTTAAGCTGACGCTTAAGGGAGTCAACATCTCCCATAATTCAGTATCTCAGTATTTTTTGGTTGTACCAAAAAATTAAAAACAACTAAAAAATGAAATGTTTCTAGAGCTTCTAAAAACTTGCATTTACAAAATAGTTGATAAAAATGCTCCTCTGGATTATACAACAAGGGAGATGGAAACAACTGATAATAGGTGGTATAAGATATTAATCATATTTGGCTTCTTTCTCTCCTGTTTCACCACAGTCTGAATTCTTCTCGTTTGTATCTTCTCTGTTCTCTGCAGGTAAATCTTTCAGTTTCCTGGTTATCCACTTCTTCCGTCTTCCCCCTTTGCGCTTTTTAGTCTGAAGATTTATCCTTTCCTGCTGCCTTTTTGGGGCTTTTTTTCCACTTTTTCAGAGGAGGTTTAACTGACAACCTCACCGATCTCCTCTGGGGTTGTTCCTGAACAACCTCTCTAACTCGGGCATTTTTGCAGCAGGGAGGGTGCATGTCAGGTGCCTGTGGGCCACAGTGCCCCAAGAGCCTTCTAGAAGCTAGGCTGCCTGGCAGCTGTCCCTCCTTCAACATCCAGAGCTGCTGGGACCCACTCACAGTAGCTTTTCAAATTGCAAGAGAGACAATAGTTTTCAGAGAACTTTAAGATTCGTAAGAAGTTACTACTATTGTAATTGGAGTATTTTAAACATTTAAATGTATCTAAAGTTCGTATTTCCATCTAAATTTGAATGTAGTTTGTCTAACGCCAGTTGTGGGGAATGAGAAGAGCAGAAAACTAGGAAGCTAGTGGAAGCACGCCTTGCCTCTTCCCAAACTATCTGTGTGAATTATTACTAGATTAGTTACTAGCAATTTGAAATGGAGGAATAAAGCTTGAGCAACTTGACCGATATTATCATCCATCAACCATGACGTTTCTTACTACAAAATGGCAGTTTTGGAAAAATATTGGGAAGTACTCAGAAGAAACAGGTGAAGAATTGGGGCAGCAAAAATCTTTGGATCTGTCATCCATTAGTATCATTCACAATTTAATTGCAGATCAGTTGTGTCAGGTTTCTTTGAACATACAGACACACACACGCAATAAAATTACATGGTTTCTTTATTTGGGGGTTTAAAGGTTAAGAAAAAATAATACAGCGTCAGAGAAATAAGTGATGATTAAATTGAAACTTAAAGCTAGAAATACGTTTTTAAAGATATTCTGTAAAAGGCAAGCTGTTTTTCACATGATTTTTTTTTTCTAAAACTATTTTTCTAGATCTGAATTTTAGGGAACATGTCAAATGCAGTCACATAAAATAAAGACCTCACAGCATGAAATACTGTAGTTCTGAGGCCTAAAATTGCAATTTCTACGCAGACACATTCTGTGCCTATAAAAAAATAAGAATATGGCTACTTAAGGGAGATTAAATTGTGTGGTTATTACTTCCAAATATAAAAAGGGTCTTAGAGGTTCATTTTTTTCAGACACTAAAATTGAAAATGATGGGAATCTAATTTTGGTATGGATGGTTGTTATAAGAATAAATATATTTTTTAACCTGACCCATTCCAACCTCCTGACAGATAATTTCTGAAGCAAATCCGAATCTGTCAAAAACCAATATTTATCTACATTCATGTCAGCTTTGGCAAGGATAAGTTGTCTAAACATTGAGGCATAGCATTCATGAGCATAAATCTTTTCTTATCCACAAACCATTAATGTAATGAATAGAAAGTAAGGTGAATTGTTAATTCTTTGCACATTTATCATGCCTTTGTGAACATCTTAAAAGCATTTTAAAATGCATTCTTTCTTAGGTTTAGTTGAAAAGCCTGCCAAAGTCTTTTTTTTTTTTTCTTAAGTTGGGGAGCTTTGTATAGGGATTAATAAAATTTTAAAGTAACAAATCAAAAGACACAAACAAAAAAGCAACCATGATTTGTTCTACTGAAGGTTTATTGCCAGAGTGCTTTACGTGCAACTAGCTTTATATATTGTAATCGTTAAGTGTGCCTGTGTTGAGATATTGAACTTTCTTTCAGAGTATGCATGCTTATTCTTAGTATATATTCCTTCCTGTTGATTATTTCTAAAATAGTTTTCATCTGAGTAGTTTAAGGATTCCTTGGCTGAAATAAAGGAAACCACACAAGATAAACCACACGAGTAAAATTGGGCTATTCATAAGCTTGAGACGACAACCTAGGGCACAAGCACTTATGTGCAACCCTCTCTGCATGTACAAGGCTGATCTTAAAAACCAACCACGAATCAACATGATCTTATAGGCCCAGTACTTACCGCCCAGAAAGTTTATATCTCATTTCACATTTTTGGGAGCAAGAATATCTAAGTTCCTGATCATGTAATAAAAGGCAGACTGATCCTTTAACAGACAGCTATGTCTTATTTGAGGAGTGATGTGAGTATTATCTGGTACAAACTTGATTTGAGCTTTTAGGGAAGCTATAATATAATCAGGAAAGTCATCCCAAAATGCCTGTGTTGAAGGCTTTAAATGGATTTGATCATGTTACAAAATGGGTGAGAGGGGTCATGAAATTATATAGAAGTGACTAAAAACTGTAATCTGTGTCAAGAACTACAGGGACATTAACAATATCTATTTTCCTATTCTTATCACTTATTAATAATAAAAACAACTGATATCCATGGCATATTTTATGTTTACCTGTGCCCAGTTTATGACTGTGTAGTGGCATGAGTATGAGGAATACCCTGTATCACTCTTAAGAGGATTCTAGTTTGAATTCATTATTATGATCATATACATTTCTATTGGTCATGCACATTTTTCTGTGCCTTCTATGTATTATCTCATTTAATCAATACAATAACATTTTAAGGTAGACACTATTCTTATCTCAATTTTAAAAGCTATGAAAGCACTAGCCTCAAACTAAGAAGTTAAAGACTGTCAAAACTAGATTTGAATCAAGTAAAGTAGCTCTGTAATCCAAGCTCCCAATTATCTATATGTTTCTGGAACTTTAGAACACTAAGAACAGTAATTATGGAGCATGATCTTTTCTTCAAGTTTAAGGAGATGACAATAGGAAAATTATTCATCAATTGGTAATAGAAAGAAAATGGCAAAATGGCTATGGTATATGTACATTGACAGAAAACAAGACAAACAAACAAACAAACAAACCAAGAAGGTGCCAAGCAAGGTAATCAACTTTCTGGAGTTTAATGTGTGTGTGTGTGTGTGTGTGTGTGTGTGTGTATTTTAGCCTTGTGTATTAGTTTGCTACAACTACTATAACAAAGTACCACATACTGAATAACTTAAACATAAATTTATTTTCTCATAATTCTGGAGACAGAAGTCTGATATCATGGTGGTGGCATGGTTGGTTTCTTCTAAGACTTCTCTCCTTGGCTTACAGATGGTGCTATTCTTTTGGTGTCTTCATATGGCACTTCTGCATGTTGTTCTTTGTGTCCTAATCTCCTCTTCTTATAAAGACACCAGTCGTATTGCATTAAGAATCACCCCAATGACTCAATTTTAATTTATATTCTTTTTAAAGGTCCTATTTCCAAATATGGCCACATTCTGAGTTACTAGGGGGTAGGGTTTCAACATGATAATATTAAGGCAACACAATTCAGCCCATAACAGTGCATAAAATAGTATCTTAGAGGATAATTTTTTCCATGTTTCCAAGTTCTGTAAATTCTTTTCTTTGTGTTCTCTTTAGATTATTGGACATATTATTTAAGTTTTTTGTCATGCCACAAATGTGCAAAATAAAATTGGTAAGATGTTTTGGCTTGAATTTTGAGAAAAAGTATTTGTTCTATATGGAATACATGCCTTGGATAGAATGGTAGTAAGAAAAGAAGAGTGGCTTGAGTTAAGTGAAACTTTTATACAAAGAATTGAATTTGTGCAATTGATCTTGCAATTGTACAAGGTCATTTACTCTCAGTAGTGATTTTCTACTAATAGACATCTGTTTATTTCTGGAAATACATGACATTTTCCTCTACATATACATTAATATATATCATTCTATTACAAGACATGTCATTTGCATTTGATGTGAAAAAAGTTACTATTTGGCCCAGGCATAGGAAAATACAGAAAAGTTTGTCTAAAACTGTGGTCTCCAAACCTTGCACATAAAATTCATCTAGAATACCTGGGTCCCATTCCAGCCCTAACTTATCAGAGTATGCTAAAATGGATCCTAGGAATCTGCTTTTGAAAATAATAAGCAGATTGTTCTCCTAATAAAATTAGAGAATCATTGTATTGCATATATTTATATCAAAGATGTAAACAATGAAAATGTATGTTGTGTTGCTTAGGATATAGTTCAAGCTGATGTAACAAAGACAGCAGAAAAAACAGAGGCTCAAAATAGGTAGAAGATTAATTATTCTTATGTAAAAATCCAAAGGCAAGATTTCCAAGGTGGGGATAGAAGGAGGGCTACTCCCTGGGACCAGTCAGGAACTTAGGTTCTTTGTATCTTGTTCTTTGGGAAAGAAAATAGTCAAAGCTAGCACCCCAAAATAATGCTTAATGCTTATGTTTTGGCCTGAAGGAAGAAGTAATAAGCAAAGAGCAAAACCTTTATAAATGCATTATTTAAAAAGTACCCACATCCCTTCTAATTATGTCCCCTTGTGCAGCACATAGTTATGTGGCAATATCTAACTTAAAAGGAAAGTGGAAATGTAGTTTGTGACTAAGTGGTGGCATATCCAGCTAAAACCCAGAATAGACAGCTATTAGGTTGGTGCAAAAGTAATTGCGGTTTTTGCCATTACTTTCAGTTGCAGAAATTACAATTACTTTTACACCAACCTAATATAACTAAAAATAATAATGGAAAAACTGTATACTTATAGTGGCTGTGAGAGAGTGTGTGTGTATGTGTATACGTGTGTGTGTGTGTGTGTGTGTGTATAATGGTTGGAAACAATACGAATATCCATCAACAAGAGAATGAATAAATATTTCTTGTATATTTATATAATGGAATAATGCTCAACCATAAAAATGAATTATTGATACACCAAAAAACATGAATAAATACTTTAAAATATAATGTTGGAGAAAAATAGCTGAATATAAAAAAGTACATATTGCTTAATTCAATATATTATATGTGAAAACTGGCAAAATGATCTACAGTGATAAAAATTAAGTTTTTAAAAATATGCCTTTATGCATTTTTAGCTTCTACAAAACAGGCAATGATATCATTAATGTTTTCTGATTAGTAATTTTTGTCTTTTTTTCTTTGATCGACCTTTCTAAAAGCTTATGAATTTTCTTAATGTTTTTGGAAAAAATAGCTTTTTATTTTGTTTTTCTCTCTTGCTTGTGTCTCTATTTTACTAATTTCACCTATTATTAATATTTTCCTGATTATAGTTAATATGAGTTTAGCTTTTTTGTTCTGGGAAAAAATTTAGATCATTAATTTGATCATTAACCCTTCATGTTAAATACACAAGTAAATTTATAAATTTACAACTAAACCCTGTTTCAGATGCATCTCATAAATTCTGATTTTTTAAATATTTTTATTCAATTGAAAATATTTTCTGCTTTCTATTGATATTTCTTTTCTTTTCTTTTTTTTTTTTTTTTTTGAGACAGAGTCTCGCTCTGTCGCCCAGGCAGGAGTGCAGTGGCGCTATCTCGGGTCACTGCAAGCTCCGCCTCCCGGGTTCACGCCATTCTCCTGCCTCAGCCTCCCAAGTAGCTGGGACTATAGGCGCCCGCCACGGCGCCTGGCTAATTGCTTTTTGTATTTTTAGTAGAGACGGGGTTTCACCGTGTTAGCTAGGATGATCTCGATCTCCTGATCTCGTGATCCACCCGCCTCGGCCTCCCGAAGTGCTGGGACTACAGGCGTGAGCCACCGCGCCCGGCCGATATTTCTTTTCTTGACCTCTTTTTAAGTTTGTTAATATCCACATATTTGTGGACTTAGTAATTTTTGTCATTGATTAACAGATTAGTTTCTTCATCATTAAAGAACATTTCTTTTTAAGATTTCAATAATTTTAAATTACTAAAATGTGTTTTGTGGCCAATAAGTTCTCTTGTATTTATGAATATTCCATGTGTATTTGGATAGACTATGAACCACTATTATAATATTATGTAGAATGTTCTATAAAAAATGGACTTTAAGTTGGTTAGTAATGTTATTCAAGTCTTCTTTATTAATGCAGAATTTTGTCTATATTTACCATGAATTTTGTTTTTATCCTTCTTACACTCTGTGACTTCAATTGAAGTCCTCAAAACATTTAAAATTAATATAATTACCAAGGTAATTCAGCAAAATTTGTCCATTTTGCCATTTAATTTTCAATTGTTTAATCTGTTTCTGTACTTCCCACTTTTTCTGTGTCCTTTTATTTAAATAAATATTGTGATTGCGCTTTATAACCACCTTTTTCTTATTAGCTATACTTCTTTATTTCTTTAAAACTTACATCCTATATTGTTAACTCATCACAGTCAAGTTTGAATAATATACAACTTTATTTATAGTGTGAAAATCTTGCAAATATACACATCAATTTCTCACTGACTTCTATTATACTGTTGGTGACATATAATTTCCATATATGTATAAGTATATATGCATATATAGTATATATAAGTATATATGTAGTATATATGTATATATAGTATATATACGTATATATGTAGTATATATGTATATATAGTATATATACTATATATGTAGTATATATGCATATATAGTATATATAAGTATATATGTAGTATATATGTATATATAGTATATATACATATATATGTAGTATATATGTATATATAGTATATATACGTATATATGTAGTATATATGTATATATAGTATATATACTATATATGTAGTATATATGTATATATAGTATATATACATATATGTAGTATATATATGAGCATATGTGTATATATAGTGTATATATATGTATATGCGTGTGTATATATGTGTATGTATATGTATAAACCCTAAATATATTGCTACATTTGCATTAATGATTAGAAAAATGTTTTATATTTTCTGATATTTTTGCCATGTTCATCGTTCTTTATTCCTTTGTTGAGACCCAAATTTTAATCTGGTGAAAAAATCTACCTTGATTTTTCTTTCCTCTTCTTTCTTTTTTTTTTAGTGCAAGTCTATCTACTGACAGTAAATTTCCTTAGCTTTACAGCTTTTGCTTTTCTTAAAATGTATTTGTTTTATGTCAGCTAAATTTCTTAAAATAATTTGAGTGTAGAATTCTATGTTGATGTTTTTTCTCTCAGTATTTTAAAAACATCACTCCTTCACATCTAATGTAGTTTGTAACAGTAAGCCACCAGAACCTTTTATTACAAAATGTTCTTTTTCTCTGATTGGTCACAGAAAAGAATGTTTAGTGGACATCAATTCATTCTATGACAGCCCTCATCATTACTTAGTATATTCATTTATATGAAGTCATTTGACAACTTAATATAATCATAATTGCCATTTTATGTATTTTGATTTAGTTCCATTTTGATTTAGTTCAATTAATTTAAACATTTCAGAATTTCTCTCCCTGAAATGTTTGAATTTTCAAAATGAGAAATAATTTGCAATTTGCCCATCTAGAACCTGATATTTTCTGGCTGATAAATCAGTATTTGTAAAGCAAATGCAATTGTAGAGGAGTATCTTCTACGTGAAAAATATTTGGTGTCATTTCCCCAAAGCACAATGTATTGTACTATCATGCCTTTTTGATCTCTCTCCTGTTTCTTATTAAGTCTGGAATGTCATTTCCATTTTTGGATGACTGAAAAATTCTCACCAATGCAAAAATTAAGGTTATTAAAAAATTTTGAAAATCAGGATGTCAGTACAAAATGGAATCCTACTTTGAATTTTGAAGTTAAAGAATCTATGATCAACTATTTCAAAGACATTTAATTAACAGATGTACTAATAACTAATGCTATAATACTACTCCCCCTCTTTTATCCTTTCATTTATAAATGGGTCATTTTCTCAGTTCTTATTACATATTTAACATTAGTAAAGATGTAGGGAATGTAGAAATGAGACAACAAGTGTACAGCCCTCAAATAGTTACAGTTTAGTAAAGATATTTACAAAATTAACAGTATGTCAAGGAACAGTGCAAGGAGGACCTTAACTGAGAACTGTGCTCTGAAATAAAAGAATTTCCTCAACCTGGAAGATCAGGGGATGTTTCACTGAAAATGTGGCATTTAAATTGAGCCATAGTACCCACATATTTGAATTCGTAAACCCAAGACCAGAGAACA
Organism: Homo sapiens; assembly: GCF_000001405.40. Lineage (NCBI taxonomy): Eukaryota > Metazoa > Chordata > Mammalia > Primates > Hominidae > Homo > Homo sapiens. The sequence goes on from NC_000011.10 coordinate 97,916,366, forward strand.
AATCAATGCAGCTCATGACTCAAAGCAACAGGATACAAAACTAAAGTGATGGGAAAATAATGAGTTTAGGAAGCATGCTTGTACCCAATTCCATAATCAGGAACAAATTACTTAAGTTTCGATTATCAGGTCTTCTATATGAAGAACATATTGGTGATATTTAAATGTGATAATTAAATGTGATAATTTACTTAAATCACATGGTGGATAATAGGTTCTTAATAAAATATAGCTCTCAGAGAGTGTGTTCATAAAAGCAATAACACTCCTTATGAAGAAAGAATCAGCTATAATATTTATTTGCTTCTTTTTTTCTTACATACATTTATCCTTCCACTCCTTCTCCTCCTCTTTTTTTCTCAGTCTCTGTGTTCATCACTTTATGGTATTCAAAGCATAATCTCAAACCCAGTCCTTCATGGTTCTATGAACTGAATTACTTAGAAGTTATTTTTATCACCACATTAAATAGGAGGAAACTTCTGATCCATCATCAAATGTGTTTCTGAGCAGCAATGTACATGCTGGTAAGTATTTGTTGATAAGACATAGCATTGCCTTGAAAGGAAAAGAAGCATCATATATTCATCATTTTTCCACCTAAATAACATGACGGAGCAGTATGTCACACTTATATGTATTTCTTATTCAACCAACTAACCAGTGCTTTTTCCTTCTCCAAAATACTTACATTCTCCTTTCAGGAGATTTTGTTTGAAAACAATCTTCAGCCATGATATAAAGAAAGAAAGTTTTTAAACCGATTTTGCAGCATACCAAGGGATTGAATTAGGTAGAAAAGCTGCATGCAACATTTCACATGCATGTAAAAATAGATACCCTTTTAAATTAAAGAGACATATTTTTGTCCTTGAATATTCTTGAGGACTTCAAGCGGAACAAAAGTTTACAAGAAAACCAATTTTTGCCTTCTCAAAATAGATTTATGGCTCAGGCTCAAAGTTAACATTTTATAGCGGTCCAATTTTAACATTTGCACAGTTCACTTTAAATAAAATAAATTCAAGATAAAAATTCATTGCATTCCACCTTAGATGTTTATATACAGATTTACTGAAAGGGAGGTCTGATAAATTAATATCTGATAGCCTGAGTACAATTTATTCAATTCAGTAATCAAATCTTTTGTTCTGTAGTCATTGTGTTGTTTTTAACGTACAAATTATATCTAATAATCATGACCATTACATGTATTTTTAGAAGTTAAATAACGCTCATGTAACTGAACATTGTTTGAATTTATTTTAAGGAATGTTGGTTTATTTTTAAAGCATCATTCAAATTCATGAATAATCGAGTTCTTTGTGTTTTTACATAATATACACCATTTATGAAAAAAATGGAGCAATGTGATTTTGGTTAAACAGAGATTAGATCAATAATTCATGAACATCTGCATAGAGTGATGGCTAAACTATTTTCATGTCATGAAAACACTGAAGTGAAATCATAATAAGAACTTATGTTAATTAAACCACATTAAAATATTTTATCAAACCAAAAATGCTTTAATCTGCCTTTATTTGACATTTAAACTTAACAACTCATCTGAAAGCCATTTTCTCACCAATAGCTGATTATTTGAAATAAATATAAATAATACAGCATAATAGATAACTGTGCTACTGTTACAGGGTGAAAATAAATTATTAAAAATTATTTATGTTCAATTTGTACTATGTATCCATATTAGCAGAATACATATAAGACAGTGATTTTAAACAAAGATTTTAAATTTAGACTAGTGCAACTTGGTATGATGGTTCTGCCCATTACCCTTTGACCATTGGACCATCATTCTCCAAGTTTCATTTTCTTCCACCGTAATAAGGGATAATGATATCTGTCATATGAAGTTGTTTTGTGGAATATGTGAGGGATTGTATCTAAATTTCCTTGAAAAGGTCTGCAAAAATCACTTATGTTAGTTTCTTCTAAACAAGAAAGATAAACTGAAAAAAAACCTTAGAAGTTGTTTATTTTATATGGATAAATAATGCTTAGCATTTTTTTACATTAGCGAATAATATGGGAATGGAAAATATAACAAATAACACTAGTTGCTAATCTTATTGCCATATTTTTATTGTAGGTGGTTCTCACAAATGCATTGTTAAAAGTATGAGAGTGGTGCAATATGACTGCCAAAAATTCTCACCACACTATAGGATTAGTTTTCTACAAGTTGATAATGATCTTTCTTTAAGGGGTATAGTTGCTTTAGCATTCTTTCAGGATATTCCATAATCTCAGAACTTGAGAATTTCTTTTTCTAACACAACTATATTAGATATTTGAAATACGTAATTCGGGATTAACTCTGTAAAGGAAAGACATGTGGAGGATTATAATATAGGAAGGACAATCCACGTGAGAGCCAGGATTAAGGAGAGGGTTACTGGACAAGGCATAGCGGATATTATATAGCTGTACTTCTGAAACTGCACATACCTACTTTGAGCATTCTTTCTTCAATTAAGATCACCTTCCACCTTGGCATGGCCAGAAAAGAAAACCTGTTGCATTGCTCTTTCTGCTCAATTCTCACATCATTGGCACCGATGATAATTTGTTTGGCATGATGATAATTCTGAAATAAGTTATTTTAAGAGGTCAGCTCTACACTTTCAGGGCAGCTCTCATAATCTAGTTGAACTTCTTTTGGAAAGTCTAGGTTCTAGTAAGAATGATATAACCTAAGGGAACAGACCTAAGTACTGTGCCTTTCTTCTTTACCTATCTTCTAATCACAGGTAAAGCCCAAAGTAAGAATACCCAGATATCGATGATTTGGGGCTGCTTTGCTCATCATCAGGTTCTATGCTAGAGAAAAAAAATGTTCTGGAGATGTCTTAGTCTTCAGAGATTTAGTATGTAAATGTAGTACTCTTTTAAGATGATAGAAATCATCTATTATCATCTTATTGTCTTAAAATCTGTCATCTTAAAATTGAAGATGATTCTCTATCATCTTCCCTTCCACTTATTAGTCGCATTCAACCAATGGGGAAGCATTTTCACAATGTTTTCAGGAAAGGATTGCTCCTATTTTTGTTTAGTCTGATATTTGTGTTTCTCAGTCACTCTCACAAATTGATATCTGTCTTGGTTTTTTTTTTTTCAGCTTAGGAATTGTACACACTTCATGGGCACACATTACCCAAATGTACCATCTCAAGTGAAACTTCTTGAGAATCTTCTACATGGAACCATCTTGCCTCCACCTTAGATGAACTTGCCCACAGACCCCACAGATTCTCATATTTCTAGGAACTGGTTGGTTAAATGTGGTCTAACTTTTATTGGCTGGAGGTGACTTACAAAATTTGAAATGAATAAATTATAGCCTTTTTCTATAAAAAGAGAGTTAAGCTGAATATCAAGACCTGTATATGTGTGTGTGTATTTATAGAAATTTTAAAATCTAGTAAACTTTCTAAAAATTTGTTCCTCAAAACATTAACATTTCCTTTCATATATAGTTGGCTATTAAAAATAAAAACCGCATAGTATTGGCCTCAGATGAACTCTACAACTCATGTAATAGGAATTTGCTCTGGTCCTAATTCAGTTCCCCAGCAAGATAGATATTATTTGTTAACCCAACATATGATTGTCAATGTGCAGACTGTAAAGATAGACATTTATCCAGACCTAAATGCCAATATAACTATACCATAGCACTTACTAGAAAATGCTGTCACTATTCTAGACAGAAATACACAAAATTGTTGTTTAATTTTATATATATCCTTTAATTTAGGTTAAGGGGTACATCTGCAAATTTGTTTTATAAGTAAACTCATGTCACAGGGGTTTGTTGTACAAATCATTTAATTGCCCAGGAACTAAGACTAGTACCAAATAGTTATTTCTTCTGTAGGGGTCTGCTTTGAGCAGATAATCTAGGCCTTTTGGATTTTCATCAGACCTTTGAATTTTGGCAAGTTACTTAACTCTGTGTGCCTATTTTCATCACCTAAAAAAATGAGTACAATAATTATATACACCTCACAGGGATATCTTTATAATTAAAACAAGTAATCATATATAAAGCACTTAAAATAGTACCTGTCACATAATAGATCCTAATCACATAGATATGATTAGGAGATTTTTATTATTAGTCTTGGGTCCAAGTTCCTGGATTATATATACCAAATACAAAATATCAGACTAAATGTATAAGACCCTGCCAGTTTCCACTTACTCTTAGGTATTACTTCTCATTTATCTCATCTCTTATAGATAAATATAGATATTAATAGTTGGCATGGTTGTCCTGGAACCCATCACCTTTCATTATTGGACTGATGAATAATAGAGTCCTAAGAGTAACAGAGAGTTACTCAGAGACTTTTACGACATTTTCTTCCAAACTCTTCTCATGACATTTAAAATATGCCTGAAGTACTTCACAAAGAGCTTTTGCTCTTACCTTATTTATGTGAATGCTGATAATTAAAAATCACTTTCATCTGCCATGATTATATTGTTAAGGTAGAAAAGATTATGCCTTTCGAATGTCAATTAGAGCAGACATATTCAACCTCATTTACCAAATTCAGCTCAGAGGCAACCACATACAGAAATCTGTCCTTATTTTTAAATCTCATGAGCAAATCCCCAAAGAATATTTATGCCTGCATTAATTTATTTGTTTGTTTTTCCTTGTTTGTTCTTTATATTGTGATCTTCAGTGGCCTGTTCTGATTTTTGGTTTGCATTTTGCTTCACTAATGTGGGCAAGAATTTCTGCAGATTGTTCATATTCTTTAAACCTTCTACTATGCCTAACTAGTTTCTACCACAATGAGCAGCATATTTCCTGAAGTAAGGAAATGATTAAAATTTCTGAGATGGTCGCCCTTACTCTCACAAGCTATTGTGAGTAAATAGTAAAAGAGGGACTCTCTTAAGCTGTCCACATTGTGAGTTAGTGAAACCTACCTTGAAATCATTTTGTCATATTCAATAAAAATTATCTATGCTTTAAATTTTAATCCAGGAATTTTACATCTCGAACTTATCTTAACAAAATATTTGGAGAGTTTAAAGAGAATTTGTGTACAATTTGTATACTAACTTCATTCATCAAAATAATATTAATAGAAAAGAAAAATAATGTCCCGGCATGGTGAGTCACCCCTGTAATCCCAGCACTTTGGAAGGCTGAAGCAGAAGGACTGCTTGAGGCTAGGAGTTCGAGACCAGCTTGGACAACATGGCCAAACTTTTTCTCTACAAAAAAATACACAAAATAGCCCGGCATGGTGGTGTGCGCCTGTAGTCTCAGCTACTGCAGAGGCTGAGGTGGGAGGATCACCTGAGCCTGACAGGCGGAGTTTGCAGTGAGACAAGGAGATCACTGCATTCCAGCCTGGGTGACAGCATGAAACCCTGTCTCAAAAGTAAAAATAAAGAAAATAAAAATGATGTACCATTACTAGTGATATTATATTAAATGGAAAAAAATTATATAAATGTAAATTAATTGTACGTAAATTGTTATGATTATTAGGTATGACAGATAAAGCTGAAATGTTGGCTATCGTTTTGTCTACTAATCATAAAAATGTGTGTATACATACATATATATATTTCTTTGGAATTTATTTTACATTTGGCACTTCTCCATTTAAACTAATCTTGTCTTGGCACCTCAGTGAGGGGAGGTACAAAGTTGGAATAAAATAAGTTTAATCTTAGCCTCTAAGCTAAATAATATATTAGGAAAATTGTATGCTAAGTCAAGAATCTGTCTTAATTTCCCTTCCTTTCTCTTCTTAGAGAATTAGTAATATCTGGGCTATAGGAGTAAGAAAGAGCAAAATAATTGAAAGCAGGTAGATATAGGGAATTGAGGTCAGAGAGATTCTGTGCCTACTTTTTTTAATAACTGGGAAGGTGGCAAACTTTACAGGAATTCTACTGATGTTCTTGTCCCATCTAAGCACGATGTGAAAGCAGTAAATTAAAATCCTATGTAGGATTTGGGGCATACAGTCCTAGCAAGTGGTAGATGATAGAGTATCATCATTCTGTGCAGTGTATAGTGACAGAAATATGGCATTAATAATTTCCAGGTTTTGAGAGTTCTTGAAATTATGATGAGATATCTGCAGGTATCAAAGACCAGAGAAAAACAAATCAATAATAGTAATAACCACGAATTTACTAGGAATCATAAAGATGAGACTTTCCACTATTGGTTAAATGGGTATTCAACATAAAATTTAAATTCGGATTAGAAATAAAATTAAAATTTTGTATTTTGTCATCTGACTTTATGATCAGCAAAACTGGTGATTAAAAATAATATAAACCAGGAGGTGGAGCCAAGACGGCTGAATACAAACAGCTCCAGTCTACAGCTCCCAGCGTGAGTGACGCAGAAGATGGGTGATTTCTGCATTTCCATCTGAGGTACCGGGTTCATCTCACTAGGGAGTGCCAGACAGTGGGTTCAGGACAGTGGATGCAGCGCACTGTGGGCAAGGTGAAGCAGGGCGAGGCATTGCCTCACTCAGGAAGTGCAAGGGGTCAGGGAGTTCCCTTTCCTAGTAAAAGAAAGGGGTGACAGATGGCATCTGGAAAATGGGTCACTCCCACCCTAATACTGCGCTTTACCAACGGGCTTAAAAAATGGCACACCAGGAGATTATATCCCACACCTGGCTCGGAGGGTCCTACGCCCACAGAGTCTAGCTGATTGCTAGCACAGCAGTCTGAGATCAAACTGCAAGGCGGCAGCGCGGTTAGGGGATGGGCGCCTGCCATTGCCCAGGCTTGATTAGGTAAACAAAGCAGCCGAGAAGCTCGAACTGGGTAGAGCCCAACACAGCTCAAGGAGGCCTTCCTGCCTCTGTAGGCTCCACCTCTGGGGGCAGGGCACAGACAAACAAAAAGACAGCAGTAACCTCTGCAGACTGAAATGTCCCTGTCTGACAGGTTTGAAGAGAGTAGTGATTCTCCCAGCACGCAGCTGGAGATCTAAGAACGGGCAGACTGCCTTCTCAAGTGGGTCCGACCCCTGAGCAGCCTAACTGGGAGGAACCCCCCAGTAGGGGCAGACTGACACCTCACACGGCCAGGTACTCCTCTGAGACAATACTTCCAGAGGAACGATAACGCAGCAGCATTTGTGGTTCACCAATATCCGCTGTTCTACAGCCACCATTGTTCTACAGCCACCGCTGTTCTACAGCCACTGCTGTTCTGCAGTCACCACTGCTGATACCCAGGCAAACAGGGTCTGGAGTGGACCTCTAGCAAACTCCAACAGACCTGCAGCTGAGGGTCCTGTCTGTTAGAAGGAAAACTAACAAACAGAAAGGACGTCCACACCAAAAACCCATCTGTACATCACCATCATCAAAGACCAAAAGTAGATAAAACCACAAAGATGGGGAAAAAACAGAGCAGAAAAACTGGAAACTCTAAAAAGCAGAGCACCTCTCCTCCTCCAAAGGAACTCAGTTCCTCACCAGCAATGGAACAAAGCTGGATGGAGAATGACTTTGACGAGTTGAGAGAAGAAGGCTTCAGACGACCAAACTACTCCAAGCTACAGGAGGAAATTCAAACCAAAGGCAAAGAAGTTAAAAACTTTGAAAAAAATTTAGACGAATGTATAACTAGAATAACCAATACAGAGAAGTGCTTAAAGGAGCTGATGGAGCTGAAAGCCAAGGCTCCAGAACTACGTGAAGAATGCAGAAGCCTCAGGAGCCGACACGATCAACTGGAAGAAAGGGTATCAGTGATGGAAGATGAAATGAATGAAATGAAGCGAGAAGGGAAGTTTAGAGAAAAAAGAATAAAAAGAAACAAACAAAGCCTCCAAGAAATATGGGACTATGTGAAAAGACCAAATCTATACCTGATTGGTGTACCTGAAAGTGACAGGGAGAATGGAACCAAGGTGGAAAACACTCTACAGGATATTACCCAGGAGAACTTCCCCAATCTAGCAAGGCAGGCCAAAAGCTAGGAGAAGGCAAGAAATAACTAAAATCAGAGCAGAACTGAAGGAAATAGAGACACAAAAAACCCATCAAAAAATTAATGAATCCAGGAGCTGGTTTTTTGAAAGGATCTACAAAATTCATAGACCGCTAGCAAGACTAATAAAGAAGAAAAGAGAGAGGAATCAAATAGACGCAATAAAAAATGATAAAGGGGATATCAGCACCAATCCCACAGAAATACAAACTACCATCAGAAAACACTACAAACACCTCTATGCAAATAAACTAGAAAATCTAGAAGAAATGGATAAATTCCTCGACACATACACTTTCCCAAGACTAAACCAGGAAGAAGTTGAATCTCTGAATAGACCAATAACAGGCTCTGAAATTGTGGCAATAATCAATTGGCTTACCAACCAAAAAAAGTCCAGGACCAGATGGATTCACAGCCAAATTCTACCAGAGGTACAAGGAGGAGCTGGTACCATTCCTTCTGAAACTATTCCAATCAATAGAAAAAGAGGGAATCCTCCCTAACTCATTTTATGAGGCCAGCACCATCCTGATACCAAAGCCGGGCAGAGACACAACCAAAAAAGAGAATTGTAGACCAATATCCTTGATGAACATTGATGCAAAAATCCTCAATTAAATACTGGCAAACCGAATCCAGCAGCACATCAAAAAGCTTATCCACCATGATCAAGTGGGCTTCATCACTGGGATGCAAGGCTGGTTCAATATAGGCAAATCAATAAATGTAATCCAGCATATAAACAGAACCAAAGACAAAAACCACATGATTATCTCAACAGATGCAGAAAAGACCTCTGACAAAATTCAACAACCTTCATGCTAAAAACTCTCAATAAATTAGGTATTGTTGGGACATATCTCAAAATAATAAGAGCTATCTATGACAAACTCACAGCCAATATCATACTGAATGGGCAACAACTGGAAGCATTCCCTTTGAAAACGGGCACAAGAAAGGGATGCCCTCTCTTACCACTCCTATTCAACATAGTGTTGGAAGTGCTGTCCAGGGCACTTAGGCAGGAGAAGGAAATAAAGGGTATTCAATTAGGAAAAGAGGAAGCCAAATTGTCCGTTTGCAGTTGACATGATTGTATATCTAGAAAACCCCATTGTCTCAGCCCAAAATCTCCTTAAGCTGATAAGCAACTTCAGCAAAGTCTCAGGATACAAAATCAATGTGCAAAAATCACAAGCATTCTTATACACCAATAACAGACAAAACAGAGAGCCAAATCATGAGTGAACTGCCATTCACAATTGCTTCAAAGAGAATAAAATACCTAGGAATCCAACTTACAACGGATGTGAAAGACCTCTTCAAGAAGAACTACAAACCACTGCTCAATGAAATAAAAGAGGATACGAACAAATGGAAGAACATTCCATACTCATGGGTAGGAAGAATCAATACCGTGAAAATGGCCATACTGCCCAAGGTAATTTATAGATTCAGTGCCATCCCCATCAAGCTATCTAAGACTTTATTCACAGAATTGCAAAAAACTACTTTAAAGTTCATATGAAACCAAAAAAGAGCCCGCATCACCAAGTCAATCCTAAGCCAAAAGAACAAAGCCGGAGGCATCATGCTACCTGACTTCAAACTGTACTACAAGGCTACAGTAACCAAAACAGCATGGTACTGGTACCAAAACAGAGATATAGATCAATGGAACAGAACAGAGCCCTCAGAAATAATGCCGCATATCTACAACCATATGATCTTTGAGAAACCTGACAAAAACAAGCAATGGGGAAAGGATTCTCTATTTAATAAATGGTGCTGGGAAAACTGCCTAGCCATATGTAGAAAGCTGAAATTGGATCCCTTCCTTACACCTTATATAAAAATTAATTCAGGATGGATTAAAGACTTACATGTTAGACATAAAACCATAAAAACCCTAGAAGAAAACCTAGGCAATACCATTCAGGACATAGGCATGGGCAAGGACTTCATGTCTAAAACACCAAAAGCAATGGCAACAAAAGCCAAAATTGACAAATGGGATCTAATTAAACTAAAGAGCTTCTGCACAGCAAAAGAAACTACCGTCAGAGTGAACAGGCAACCTACAAAATGGGAGAAAATTTTCACAACCTACTCATCTGACAAAGGGCTAATATCCAGAATCTACAATGAACTCAAACAAATTTACAAGAAAAAAACAAACAACCCCATCAAAAAGTGGATGAAGGATGTGAACAGACACTTACGCAGCCAAAAGACACATGAAAAAATGCTCATCATCCCTGGCCATCAGAGAAATGCAAATCAAAACCACAATGAGATACCATCTCACACCAGTTAGAATGGCCATCATTAAAAAGTCAGGAAACAACAGGTGCTGGAGAGGATGCAGAGAAACAGGAACACTTTTACACTATTGGTGAGACTGTAAACTACTTCAACCATTGTGGAAGTCAGTGTGGCGATTCCTCAGGGATCTAGATCTAGAAATACCATTTGACCCAGCTATCCCATTACTGGGCATATACCCAAAGGATTATAAATCATGCTGCTATAAAGACACATGCACATGTATGTTTATTGCGGCACTATTCGCAATAGCAAAGACTTGGAACCAACCCAAATATCCAACAACGATAGACTGGATTAAGAAAATGTGGCACATATACACCATGGAATACTATGCAGCCATAAAAAATGATGAGTTCATGTCCTTTGTAGGGACATCAATGAAACTGGAAACCATCATTCTCAGCAAACTATCGCAAGGACAAAAAACCAAACACCGTATGTTCTCATTCATAGGTGGGAATTGAACAACGAGAACACATGGACACAGGAAGGGGAACATCACACTCCCAGGACTGTTGTGGGGTGTGGGTAGTGGGGAGGGATAGCATTTGGAGATATACCTAATGCTAAATGACAAGTTAATGGGTGCAGCACACCAGCATGGCACATGTATACATATGTAACTAACCTGCACATTGTGCACATGTGCCCTAAAACTTAAAGTATAATAATAATAAAATAAAATAAAATAAAAATAAAAAAATAAAAAATAATATAAACCAAATAGAGCATCTAGATAAAGCTGGTATATTAAACAGATACATCAAGTTTTGCTCTTTTTTAAACCTCTCTATGCAACAGTATGGAAATTATTTTCAAAACATATATCTAGGAGAAAATGAAGAATGAGAGAAAAGTCAACAGTGTAGTTATGAAACCCGAGACCAGATGAGCAAAAGATCAAGGACAGAATGGATCCAAGGAAAACAATTCCCAAGCAGGCAATGGGGATGCCAATCACTAACCTATTTTACACTTTACAGTCCTCCTAAGCCATAAAATTTGGTGATACCAGGAATCTCTGAGAGTATGTGTCTGCAGGCATGTTAGTTTAAATAAAGTTAAGTGGTTAAAAGTCAGTTTAATACGAAGCAAAAACCTTCTCTCATTTGTGCAGCCGGATGGCAGACTTAATAACATTATAGCAAATGCTTAGCTGAGATTGGAGTATACACCGAAATTAATGGATTAGAACATACGCATACTGACACCACCCTCTCCACTTTGATCAGCATTCCCAACTTGGTTTCTAGAACCTGAGCAGCAATACCTTTTCCCAATAAATAAAAAATTGGGCTTTTCTGATATCTGAGTAGATCAAAAAGACATTCCTAATGTACTGATATTGGTATTTTCCAAAGTTAAGGGCCAGGAAAATCACCTTGCCAAGATATTTATTGTTCATAGTTAAGTCTCAAGCCCTCATAACTGATAATCACCTTTTGAGGTTTCAATGCTTGAATACAGGGAATCAATCAAATGTTATCAGACACCTGAGGAAAATTGTTCACATAAAAAGGGACCACCAAAGAAAGAGGAAAAAAAAAAACACAATTTACAGGAAAAAAAATTATGCAAGGTTAAAAAAAAGCTTCAAATTTTGCATTAATATGTTAGAGAAATAGATGTTATTACAATTATAGAACAAGAACATAATATGGTTCAGAAATGAATATACAGGGAATATATAAGCACTCTAAGCTCTTCTACATTAAAAATATAAAAGAAGGAGAGAAAAAAGTTTATCAGAAAACTTTGAAAATAAAGTTGTAAAAAGCCCCTAGAAAATAGCTTAAAACAAAAAATAGGTAACGAGCTGGAGAGAAAACACAAATATTAGGGGACCAATCCTATATAGGAATAATAGAACTTCAGAAATAGAAAAGAGAACCAAGAGAAGAAAATCATCATTGAAATATGCAAGGACATTTCTCAAAAAAGAAAGACAATGCTTAGATCAATGAATGATAGCAACGCACATCATCACTAAATTATAGTGCACATGAAACAAAAAGAAAATTTTACAGAGAAGAAAATGTCAGGATAAATGGAGTAACCATATAATTTATTATGTAAATCAGAACCTCTTGGATATCAAAGCGGGTACTAGCAATAATTATGCTGTAAAAACAGGCATTAAAGGACACTCTTGGACAAATTGGGACACATAATCTATATGTAATAACATAATAAAGATGACTTTATTTTCATAGCAAGATTGAAAATATAATTTTCAGGTGTAGTTTCTTCAAAATTTGAAGGAAAAGATTTAAAATCTGAAATTCTATTTTTGACCAAAACATATGTTAGTGTAAAATCATTTTAATATATACCGGATCTAAAATAAAAACAAAACGAAAGAAAAACCCCAAAACATAGTTGCTAGAAGATGTACTCTACTGAAACAAGGGGAAAAAACAATAAGAAAGGAATGGGGCACAAGAAACAAGATTTAAAAATGAAGAGATAAAGAAATAGTTTATGTTTGAGATTATGGTGAAGGAGGATCCATGGTACAACAGATGGAGAAGGCTGGCAAATCTGAAAAACATAGGATAACAGTGTCCCGAAAAGACTCACTTAGGAATATTAATTGATGGAATACATAATGTGTCTAAACTTCAAAGAGGTAATTAGATAATTGCTGAGGGTTTGGTGTTGCCGTTATTGCTTTAATAAAAACAATATTGAATACCAAGTAAATAAAAATCATACAAATGATTAACTTTCAGGAAAACAAAAAGTGGTGTAAGAAGAAAGGTTAATTGTGGTTAACTGAATGGCTCTGATGTGAACAGAATTTAGAGAGTCATAGCAAAGTAAACAATGAATGTTGATCTAAACAAAATTACAACATGACTGTTTTGAAGACAGGTGAATAGGGAAAGTATGCACGTGTGGTGAGTGAGGTTGAGGGAGGGGTGTGTGTGTGGAAACAACTAAACTGTCACGTTGCATACGAGGAGTAAATAGCACATCCCTAAAACTAAAAAAATCTGAAGAGATAGCATCAGCATGTGTTTTTACAGGCATGATTATAAATACCAAAATAATTACTTAAAAGAGATTAAAAAGTGGTTGCTTCTGGTGAGCGTGAAGTGCAAAATAAAAGAAAAGCAGATGAATTTCTGTTTTTATTGAAAATCTTGTAGAAATAACTCATTCCAAGTATGTTAACATATCTGTTAAAGCTGGTAGAAAATGTTTAGAGGGTAATGAAGATGAAATACATAGAAATTGGGCCGTACCTTCGTTTAGGATTCCATGATGCACACAAGATTGTAGGGACTCTAGGCCATCCTCTCTCTTCTCTGTATAACTATCAAAATCATGTTTCAGATTAAAGGATATTTGAATCTATGTAATTCATACTTTGAATGGATGCATGATTCTTTGCTCTGTCATCCAGCACTGTATGTAGCACACTTAAGCAATAAATATTGTCAGATACATATCTGCACTGTTGCGCTGCCTATAGATTATTTGATTGATGTAGATTAAAATTATATGAGGATATTCACAACCTGACCGAGTAAAAAGACTTGGCCTAAGCTAAAAATAAGGGATCACAAAATTGAGAATGCCATCGAGGTAATTAGGCAGAAAGAAACATAACTAGACTTAGAATTTGAGAATGTGCTTTAATTAAGTGGCAATAGGTTGTGATAGAGATGGTGATGGTGGGGTTCATTATAAGATTAAATTATAGATTTGAAGTCTTCTGTTGGATAATTAGATACACAAATGTAGTTAGGTTTGATCTAATTATCTTGACTTATGGCCAGTAGACTGAAGTTCAATCTTAAATGAAGACAGGCTATAGAAACAAATAATGTGAGAATGAAAAACATTTCCATATCTGTTTACAATATGGGTTAAAACACAATTTGTAAAAATAAAAAGGACTTGAATATAAGTAGAAAAGGTTGGCATAAATTAATGAGAGCGGCTGTGATTAGTGATAGCAACAATGAATATGTGACACCAGTATCACCAGAATTAAATCAAACAAAATTTCAGAATCTTTAATTCTTATTGTCTAATTCACTTCTGAAATGTAGATGAGCTTAGTTCTATATAACATATAAAGGAGCTTACAGTGGGAAAAGTTAGATAGATGGCCTGAGGGTACACAGAACACACTTTGAAGAGCAAGGTGTTAAACCCAATTCAATCTGGTTACATACTTAATGTAGAATTCACTACATTGTAGTGCCCTTCTGCCTTATGCAGTGATTGTCCTGTTACTGTTGCAAACTGTACTGTACTACTGCCTTCAATATTGCCAATGATCTAAGATGATATACTGAAATTACAGGCAATTAATAGAAGTTTTCCATACTTGATTTTGCCAAAACCATCATCTCAGTTCAGTGTTTTGCACATCCCGGGTGTTAAATGCTTATTTTTTGATAAATAAATGTATGAAATACCAATTGTATTTTTGATGGTAAATATTTGGCATTTTAAAGTTATTTTCCTGGTAGAAAAAGTTATTTTCCTTGGTCAGAAGAATATTCAGACCTCACTGTACTCTGTTTCTGACTCACGGTATTCTCTATTTTCCTTAATGCCTTTACATTACTATTTGCATTTAGTAAAATGTCACTTTCCTGAGATTTGGAGCTTATTCTTCTAAAAGCATGCAGAATCCCAAATTGTAGATCAGATAATCCTTTCTTAAGCACAGGTTTTTCAGTGAAGTTACTTTTATTTAATGGTCTTTGCTTACGAGATTTTTTTTCTTCTGCTATGAATAACAGCATAAGGAAAATAAATGAAAATTGAAGCAAGCAGTCTTGAGCCTGAGTCACTGAACTTCATTTGAGGAAATGCATTTTTATTATATATAGTACATTTCCTCTGAGGTAAAATGTCCATATTTTGTGTGAGGTATATATACAAAATTAGGCTAATAATTCATGTACTCTTCTGCATTATAACGTCAAATAAAAATTCCACTCTCTTTTCAAAGTCTGTAAGCTCATTGAGATAAATATTAAGTTGTGATTTATTATATTTTCAATTCAAATTTATCTAAGGAACAGAACAGCATAAACTTTTTATTCAATATTGAGAGGACATCATCTAGCATGTGAATTCAAAATATGTATAAGAATCACCTAAGTGAAACATCCAACACATTGTCTTGTATACAGTATATGTTTGAGGAATAAATTCATTAAATTTTTTAATGCATATATAAAAGACAGAAGGAAAAGAAAGAAAGAGAAAGAAGAAAAAGAAAGAAACTTCATATATTTTGGTATGTCAACCCCAAGAGTCTGGATAGTATGCTGTATATATTAAGATTGTATATTGTTTTTGAAACTATATAATTTCAATGCAGTGGATATTATATATATAGGTTCCTTGGCACTACAACTGAATCAACAACTAGGGCAAAACCAAACAAACTCTTGTTCAGAAAAAAAATGAGAAATATTTCAGTTACATTACCATTTGCTTTTAATATGTCATAAAGACCAATATATATGTCAGGTAACAGACAGCTCTGAAATACAATGAATTTTTTTTTCTGATTAAACTTACAAGTGGTTTTACATTTGCTCACGAAGAAGAGGGAAGCAGAGAAAATTGAAGGAAGAGAAAATCAACCTAACTACTAAGGGTTCCAAATCACAGAGTGCATGCAGCCCGTGCACCAGTGCAGCCCAGCAGATTATTTGCCGTCAGTTAAGCACTATAAATGAACATTCATTCAAATGTACTTTAAATGAATCAAAGTCTTTGCAACTGGCAAAAAAGGGAGAAAATAACATAATTTCAGTGAGACAGAAATAATCTATAGAAACGTCAATGCTCAACCATATTTGGAAAACTATAAGTTACTTAAAGTTGGAGACTAAAATGGAATAAGATATCAATCAAATCTTATAGATACTATATTAAGAGTAAAGAGTAAATGCCGTGGAAAGTGATTGCACAATGGAAATAAATAAACTTCTTGGAATTACTTCATGGTCATTTGGGGTTGTAGATAGAGTCATCCTTTTATCAAGATAAATATTTTCGATTGTTGATTTCTGTTGCATTAGGTCCATGTGCTTTGTGAAGTAGCTATACAGAACATACACTTGAGTGCATATACACACATATTTGGTTGGTTATATAAATATAAACTATGGTGAACACATGCAATAGAATATTATGTAGGTGTAAAAAATAAGTAAAAAGTCTCTAAAAGTTGTGACAGAGTAATTTTCAGAATATATTGCTAAATAAAAAAAGCAGAGTGAGGAGAAACAGGAACACTCATTTGCTGCTGGTGGGAATGCAAAATGGTACAGCTACATTAGATGATAGTTTGGTGGTTTTTTTTCACTCCTTAAGCACACTCACACCATATGATCCAGAAATTGCCTTCTTTGGTATTTGTCTAAATACATTAAAAACTAATTCTCACACAAAAACCTACAGATGGGTGTTTATGGCAGCTGTTTCCAAGATGTTCCTTAGTAGCAGGATGGATAAATAAAATGTGGTAATCCAGTCAATGGAATGTTGTTCAGCTCGCAAATGAAATGAGCTATCAAGCCATTATAAGACATGGAGGAAACTTACATGCATATTGCTGAGTGACAAAAGCCAGTCTAAAAAGGCTACATATTGTATGTTTCCAACTAAATGACATTCTGGGAAAGACAAAAAACTGTTGAGACAGTAAAAAGATCAGTAGTTGATAAGAGTTGAGAGAGAAAAATATAAATAGGTTATGTATGATGATTTTTAAGACAGCAAAATTATTTTTTATATTACATGGTGAATACATGGCATCATTTATTTCACAAATTGCATAACAAGAATAAATCCTGATGAAACTGTACACTTAGGTGATAATGATGTGTCAATGTAGGTTCATCAATTGCAACAAATGTACCACTCTAAAGGGAGATGTTGATAGTGAAGGAAGATGTGGGTATATGGAGGTAAGGGCGATATGGAAACAGTAATTTCCATTCAATTTTGCTGTGAACCTAAAGCTGCTCTAAAAAATAAGGCCTATTTTAAAAAGCAAAATGATATATATCACTTTGCAAGGAAAAAAGGAGGAAACCTGCAAATTTTTTCAAAGAAAATAATAGGAAGGATGAAACAAAACCAATGAATTTGGTTGTCTAGAAGAGATGGATAGTAACAATTAATGGAGGAAGTATCACATTTTAAAGTATATATTTTCATATGGTTTTGACTTCTAGACATAAATTATTTTACATATTAAAAATAAAATTAATAAATATTAAATAAAATATAAAATAGAATACAAAACAATCTACCCGTATGCCAAATTAATAAGACATTCACAAAGAAGGGGAAAAATAGAATTATCTAAATAATTTGACTATATACACAGTTCATTAAAATTTAAAAGAACTACAAATAAATCTTGAACATTAATTAGCACTTTTGATATTCTTACAGTATAAATATACCAATTTCAAAAATATTTTGTATATATCATAGTATTGAGTAAATCAGTAATAAATTGGTATCATTGACAGCCAGAATTGTCAGCATGGAAGAAAGTTATGTAAAAGTGGAATGGGTGGATTACAAGGAAGAACTTTGTGGTGTTGTAATGGAATTGGAGGATTTAATCTAAACTGAAAATTTATTTATCTATATGTTATAAATATGTATGTTATTTTATATACACAGATAAGATACATATGTGTGTATGTTACATACACACATAAAACATATATACATATGAATATATATATATATACCCACACACACGTATATTTATCTGTCTGCTGAAAAGACCAAGAAGGAAACAACGATCCTGATCTTGGTTTCTAAATATTCTTCCCATCAAAGGAAGCAGAACTTTTTGAATAAATGACTGATTCTGGAACTGATGAAGTAGAGCTGCAAAGGCGAGCCTTGAACATTGTCTCATCCCAAAAATTAAAGATGTGCTCAGAAATTGATAGAGACACGTGGAAAGAACATACGATCTTTCAGATGGCCAGGGAAGGGCCTTTTGCACTGCACTTTCTCCTACTACGGGTGATCTGGCTTCTGTTTGACCTCTTCTAACTACTCTTAGCTCCTTCTCCTGGTGCTACACCAATACCTTTTGCTGTTGGAGTCTCTGAACTGAGGCCAAACTTGTTAAGGTGTTCAAACCCAGCTACTTTCTGAAATATTAAATAACTCACAGGAAACCAATGCATTACTGGCAAGCTGTAAAATGGATTATAGTCTGATCTCAGGTAATCTAATGCAGCCTTGAATTTTTTCTTCTATACATTACAGCAGATGTACAGCCTGGGAAAATGAAAGCAATTTTCTGTCCTTACTGTCATAACTCATGTTTACTGCCAATTCTTTTGTAGTCCCTGTCCCTGTCTTTTTTCCTTTCCAAAAAATGATGAGTTGATATTGCAGATACTGAAACCAAGTGGCACCTCTCAATAACCTAAGGAAGTAAAAAAGTAGTCTACCCCAATTTTCGACCAATGTCTGTCTCTCATATATGCAAACACACATACTTACATGTGTGCACACACATGCACTACCGCACAAAATGTATGCATATGTATACATTCTTTTCACTTAAATTGTATTATGAGTATTTCACATATTATTGAATTATCTTTGAACCATGAATTTAAAGACTACATGATATTCTAGCACGTGGTTAAGTTAAATTTTCTTGATAATATATTAATCAATAGTATATTAGTTTACATATAGACTATTTTCAATATTTAATAACATGAATTACATTGTCATAATTATCACTTAGCATAAATATTTGATAACATTTCTGATTATATCATTAAAATAGTTTCTAAGATATACAGAGACAAAGAACTTAGACAGTTTTTTTTTGTAAAGAGACCTATTAGGTTGGTGCAAAAGTAACTGCAGTTTCTGCCATTACTTTTAATAACTCTATATCATTTCTTCAATTGACCTTCTGAATTATATGAAAGCAACAAAAGTTACTGTCAATTAATAATTTATTAATTATTAAGGTATTTCACAATGTTAGTTTTAGAAATGAATCATTTGTAATGGTGACATATCATTAAATTGATAATTTTCTGATTTAGCATATACCTCCAGAGAAGAGTATGACCCCACTTTTTGGCCAAAGGCTTTAGTGGCTGACATTTTGTGGAAATAGTAAATGAGGACATAAAAGAGCAGATTGATAAAACTTAAGTAATTTATATCATATGGGGGGAACTTCCTTCTTAGTTTATCTTAAAGTATTTAATTTTGGTCATCTCGGCAAAGGCCTATTACAGTATGACTTTATATTTTACCATTCTGATTCCTCCACAGTAGCCAATAAATTGCTTTCCTGTATATAATAAATGTGTGTTAAATTGAAATAATTTAAATTCCTTTTATCTAAACCCTACTAAAAATTCTGAGAATTATACTGTTGTAAGTATAGACTCTTATTTTCAAAACAAGTCTGAGACAAACATATTTTTTATTAGATAAAATAAGTAAAAGATAATCCCTTGCAAATACCTGTATCATAACTTCAATTTCAGATAACTTTTGCACTTGTGTCAGTTTTTTAAAGTTTAAATTTTGTACCAAAATTATCTAAAATATTATGTAACAACAATTTCTAAATGCAAAGTTTTGCAATGAATTTTCTTTTACTGGTAAAACTGCTCTTTGCTGAGAAATCATAAAGTTATATCATTGATTTAGTTACTGTATGAAGATTTAAGATCATTTGTGACTGTCAAATAATTCAGTTTATAAGCCATATGAATAAGATATCAAATACAACTTATTTCAGATATTTGGTCCATGCAGACTATTCGAACAAAAGTTTTATTATTTTTAAGAGAAGAACATAGTAATGATTACATTACTATATAGTCAATTAATCAAACTATACCCTCAGATGGCAATCTATGCTGATGGTATATTATGCGTATTTTCATGGTTTTTATCATGGTATATTATGAGTATTTTCATGGTTTTTATCAGTATCTAAGACTCAATTGACAATAACATGGCATACACTACTAGTTTAAAAGATCAAAATAAATATACAAACTTGTTATAATTTATCTCTTCCAAAGTTATATAGTTAAAACTAATCATTTTCTACAGATTGATTTTTCTATTGTCAGAAGTTTTGTCACAATATAAATGGCTTTCATTTGAATAAAATATCTATATTTTACTCATTTGTTTCAATCCCTAAAAAATTAAAATTAGAACAGAACATATTTCTAATCTAGGAAATGTATTTTCTTCTGTAAGATAATTTGAATATAGACATGTAAGTTAAAGCACGTACCTTTTTATGTGGCGACTGTAGGAAGCATTTTCTAGTTTGCCGTCTAATAAAGTGGATGCATCCCTGATGATCAGTTGAAAAAAAAAGAAGTTTCTATCAAAGATGAGTTATAAACTCTCAATTTACATTCCCTGTTACATGCCCATTACGAATGAAATTTCTAAGTAAGATATATTAAATGTAATTGCCTAGGACTAGTCTTTTAGTGATACAAACATAGTCCTTTAGTGAAATATAATTGTATGGTATTAGAACAGTTATTTCTCTTGTGGAAAAGTCAGCAGTTCAGACAGATATTTAGGCAAATGTTAATGATTTTGTCATTACACTATATGTGAACCTTTGTTTATATCTTTCTATTAATAAAAATGATCTTAATAACCACTATAAATTTTGCTGCAATAATGCATTTGCTCTCTGATTAAAAAGGTCTATCAACTAAACACTGCGAAGCTGGGTGAATACTCAAATAATGGGTCTGAACATTTCAGAAAACTTGAGAGAATTTTTTTAAGTAGTGAAATTCCATTTCTGACAATGGTACAGTAGGCAACTGAAACAAACTTTCCATTCACTGAAGGCAACTATAAAAAATTTGACTAACTTTTAAAAACTACGCCAGAAAGAAAGATAAAAAGATAGAGGATGATAAGGAGCCAGGAGTCAGGAATGACTCAAGTCTTGGAGTCATTCAAGCTTGGAGCTCTGTATTTGGGGCCACTTGCCCTTCGATGACTAATTCCAGAAGGGTGGCTGAGAACTCTGAGGGGAGATTTTCACATATTTGCAGGGGCAAGGAGACAGAATTGGAACATAGGGTCCTCATAGTTGAGAACACTGGTGACACTTTTTATTCTTGCTTGGAACGCTAACAGCTGCTCATTAGGAGTAGGTTGCACTGGAAGTAGACAAGCCCTAAAAGGACTGCTGCTTAGCTTTAAATTACAATTCCTGAAACTATAATGGTTGTGAAGCTATAATAGCACCTGAAAACATTTCAAAATGCAAGTGTCCCTGGAAACAAAGAAAAAGCCATTCTGGAGGAAGATGATATCATTTAGATCTAAAATTATTTCTATAAATGATTTATCTAACACAATGATGAGTACACAATATAAATAGGGCTACACATAAGAACAAAAGACAACTAGGAAAAATAACAGAAAATAAAAATAGAACTCAGAAGTCCAAGTGATTGGAGTAGTCATAAAAATACTTTAAAATAACAATGCATGTTACATTTAGGGAGATGAAACTAGTTTGAAAAACTTGCAAAAAAATTGACACTTTCAAAAACAGCAATATAGTAAAGGAGTTAAGAACTCAATGGATAGATTAAAGATAAGTTATAGTTAAATAAAGAGTAAATAAACTGAAAACTACGTCACAGAAAATATTTAGAATAAAGTATAAAGATTAAAATAGAATTTAAAATACAAAAGATAAGAGACAAGACAAGGAAGACACATCAAGAAGGCCTAATATATGTTTAATTGGAATCTAAGGGAAGAAAAGAGAAAAGGGAGAAGCAGTTTATGAAGTTATAATAGCTAAAAAAAATCTAAAACAACTTTTAAAAACAATACATTCAACAGGCCATAACATTTTTAAGAAGGATTTGTCAAAAAGCAATTTACACCTTAGTGCCTCAGAGCAAAACCTCTGAAATGTGAAGACAGAGGAAAAAAATGGGAAAAGGTATCAGAGGAAAAAAAGACGTAGTATTCCAAAAAAATCAAGAGTTTTGCATTAAGATATTTCCAAACAGATCCTGAGGCAAGATCGTGCATACAAATAGTTTATTTGAATGGTGATGAAGGAAACATAGTTAAGGGAATCAGGATATAAGAAAAACAAAGAAGCTAATGTAAGCTGTGTTAGTTGATCAACTGACACTTAATCCTGCTGAGAATCTCCAAAAGCCTCTGTAGAAAGTGCCTTAGAATTACACATCAGCTGAGGACAGAGGTTGTTGTATTTATTCACCTGCTTCCATCCATCACTGATTGAAGGCTACTCTTAGTTCATTAACTTCTAGGCACTACCAGCTGGCACCACATGAGTGCGAAATCTGCTTTTGTAGCTAAAAACAAATTCTAGCTAGATTTGCAGGATATGGGAATAAAAACTTGCAGTGTACAGAAATTGTCAGAGCTTAGGAGTTATAGGAGGACTATTGAGCACATATGCTTCACTTCTCAAAAGAAAAGACAAAGGCTAAGAAAATTGAATGATACTATTTAAATGACCAGGTAAAATAATTGTTAAACCGAAATTTTACAAACAGTGAAAATACTCTACATGAATACTGAAAGAAAATCAACTTGAAAGAATTCATCATCAAGCCATTCTAAAGAAAATAATAAAGACTGTTAGAAAGAATAATAATTATCCTTAGTTTCTCTTAAAGAGATAGAGATTCAGGAAGGATTAAAGAACAGCTAAAATTTTAAGTAATGGGTGTATAAATAGATTATTTAACTTACTATATACATCAATAAAAACAATAAAAAATAAAAATAAAAGCTCATAGATTGAGAGTGGATAAGTAAAATTAAAATAAACATTCTGAGAACTTTTATCATGGAAGAGAAAGAGAACAGTACTAATTAATATTACACTTCAAGTAAAAAACATAATTTTTAGCATAACCCCTACATGATAGTAAACATGTATACAGTTTCAAAGTTATAATGCTTAAATTTGGAACAACAGGAAAAAAAATGACTACAGAAAACAAGAAAAAAAGGAATAATAGGCAATTTCAATATACAAGCATACCTCATTTTTGCATTTCACTTTATTGTGCTTTGCAAATATTGCATTTTTTAAAAATTGAAAGTTTATAGCAACTTCATTGAGCAAGTCTATTGGCACGATTTTTCCAATAGGATGTGCTAATTTAATGTCTCTATGTCACATTTTGAAATTCTCAAAATATTTTGAACTTTTCCCTTATTATATCTGTTATGATGATCTATGACCAGTGATCTCTGATATTACAATTGTTCTGGGGTGCCACAAATCATGCCCATAAAAGATGGCAAACTTAATCAATAAATGTGTGTGTACTGACTGCTCCACTGACTGGCCATTCCTCTATCTTACTCCCTTTTCTTGAGACACAACTATCCCCTGAGACACAGCAATACTGAAATTAGGCCAATTAATAACCCTACAATGGCATTTAAGTGTTCAAATGAAAATAAGTGTTGCATGTCTCTCACTTTAAATCAAAAGCTACAAATGATTAAGCTTAGTGAGGAAGCCCTTTGAAATCTGCAATAGACCAAAATCAAGGCCTCTTGAGCCAACTGGTTAGTCAAGTCGTGAAAGGAAAAGAAAATTTTGTGAAGAAAACTAAAAGTGCTATGCCACTGATCACATCGATGATAAAAAATAAATAAATAAAATAAAACAGCCTTATTCTGATAGAAAGTTTAAGTGGTCTGGATAGAAGATCAAAACTGCCACAGTATTGCCTTAAGCCAAAGCC
This sequence comes from Homo sapiens, assembly GCF_000001405.40. Lineage (NCBI taxonomy): Eukaryota > Metazoa > Chordata > Mammalia > Primates > Hominidae > Homo > Homo sapiens. The sequence continues at coordinate 97,940,524 of NC_000011.10, forward strand.
TAATCCAGAGCAAGGCTCAAACTTTTATGAATTCTGTGAAAGCTGAGAGAGTTAAGGAGGCTGCAGAAACAACGTTTGATGCTAGCAGAGGTTGGTACACAAGGTTTAAGGAAAGAAGCCATCTCCATAACATAAAAGCACAAGTTGAAGTAACAAATGCTGAAGTGGAAGTTGCAGCAAGTTATCCAGATGATCTAGTTAAGATCATTGATCAAAGTGACTACATCAAACAATGGATTTTCAATGTGATGAAATAGCCTTATGTTGGAAAAAGATACCATTTAGGACTTTCATAGCTAGAGAGGAGGAGCCAATGCCTGGCTTGAAAGCTTCAAAGGAGCTTTCTTAGGAGCACTCTCTTAAATGCTAATGCAGGTGACTAAGTTGAAGCCAGTGCTTCTTTACCGAGATGAAAATCCTAGGGCCCTTAAGAATTATGCTAAGTCTACTCTGCCTGTGCTCTAGCAATGGAACAACAAAGCCTGGATGACAGAACATCTGTTTGCAGCATAGTTTATTGAATACCTTAAGTCCAATATTAAGACCTACTTCTCAGTAAAATAGATTTATTTTAAAGTATTACTGTTAACTGAGAATGCACCTAGTAATCCAAGAGCTCTGAAGGAGTTGTATAAGGAGATTGGAATTGTTTTCATGCCTACTAACACAACATCCATTCTGCAGCCAATGCATAAAGGAGTAATTTAGACTTTCAATTTTTATGATTTAAGAAATACATTTTATAAGGCCCTAGATACCATAGATAGTGATCCCTGTGGTGAATCTGGGAAAAGTAAATGGAGAATCTTTTGGAAATAATTCACAATCTTAGATGTCATCAAGAACATTCATGATGCATGAAAGGAAGTCAAAATATCAACATTACCAGGGATTTGGAAGAAGCTGATTCCAACACTCATAAATGACTTGGAGGAGTTCAAGACTTCAGTAAAGGAACTAATTACAGATGTTATGGAAATGGCAAGAGAAGTACAATTAGAAGTGGACCCTGAAGATGTGAATGAATTGCTTCAATCCTATGATGAGACTTGAACAGATGAGAAGTTGCTTCCTTCAGAAAAACAAAGAAAGTAGTTTCTTGAGACAGAACCAACTCCTGGTGAAGATGCTGTGAACATCATTGAAATGACAAAGGATTTAGAATATTCATATGCTCATTTGATAAAACAGCAGTAGAGTTTGAAAAAACTGCCTCCAGTTTTTAAAGAAGTTCTACAGTGAATAAAATGCTATCAAATAGCATCAGAGAACATATTACAGAGAAATCTTTCGTTAAAGGAAAAGTCAATCGATGCTGCAAACTTCACTGTTGTCTTATTTTTAGAAATTGCCACAACCACCAAACCTTCGGCAACCACCATGCTGATCAGTTAGTAATCATCAACATCAAGGCAAGATCCTCCACCAGAAAAGAGTCAGACTCATTGAAGTCTCAGATGGTTGTTAACCTATTTTAGCAATAAAGTATTTTTGAGTTAACATATACACATTGTTTTCTTAGACATAATGCTATTACACACTCAACAGCCTTGGGTACAGGGCAAACACAACCTTAATGTGCACTGGAAAACAGAAAAGTCCACATAACTTGCTTTAGTATGATATTTATTTTATTGCAGTGGGTCTGGAACTGAGCCCAAAATATCTTCAAGCTATGCCTGTATATGACAAATAAAAGCAGCTCATGTTATTTAGGTTTAAATATAACTCTATTTGTAACTTCCATAAATATAAATGAACAAAATACTGTAATTAATAGAAACAGATTATCAGATTAAATAATCTAAAGCCAACCACAGTGGGTTGAATTGTTTCCCTCCAGAATTTAAGTCTACCAGGTGCCCTAGAATGTGACCTTCTTTTGACATAGAATCTTTGTAAATGTAACTGAGGTAGAAATTAAGATGAAATCATGGTGAATCAGAGTGGACCTTAAATCCAGTGACAGTGTCCTTATAAGAGGCAGAAAAGAACATACGTGGACACAGAAAAGAAAACCATGTGAAGACAGAAACAGAATGGGAATTATGCTGCCATAAGTCAAGGAATGCTTGGGGTTACCAGAAGCAGGAAGAGGCAAAAATGGATTCTTCCTTAGAGCCTTAGTGGAATGATGGCCTTGCTGATATCTTGATTGCAGAGCTGTAGCCTTCAGGACTGTGAGAGTACTAATTTGTGTTGTTCTAAGCCTCCAAGTTGTGGCAATTCATAACAGTAGACCTAGAAGACAAATAAAGGTTTAGTCCTGGGAAGTGGGCTGCAAATATAAAAAAAATACTAAGAAATGTGGAAGTGGCTTTGGAAATGGGAAATGGCTAGAGATTGGAAGAATTTTGAGTCATGTAACAGAAAAAGTATATATTGCCTTGGAGAGACTGTTGGTGAAAATATAGAGGTTATAAGTACTTATGGCAAGGTCTAGGACAGAGAAAAGAAACATGATATTTGGAACTGGAGGAAATGTAATCCTTGTCATAAATTGGCAGAAAACTTGACTTAATTGTTTCTATTAATGGGTGAGGAAAAGAACTTTTAAGAATTCACCTAGGATATTTTGAAGAAGAGATTTCTAAGCAGAGTTTTGAAGGTGTGGCCTGGATTCTTTTTATTACTTATAGTAAAATGCAAGAAGACAAAGATACATCGATGAAGGAACTGTTAAGCAAAAAGGAAGCAACACTCAATGATTTGGAAAATTCTCAGCCTATCAAGACTGCAAAAGATGCTAGAGCATGCTCTGGAGAAAGGGTAGAGTGTGGCTGGACAAACTTCTGGTAAAGACATGAGATGTATAACTCATGCATCCAATCAATCATTTCCACAGAAGCCATAAATAGAGACAAGCTATAAAGAAAGGATCTGTGGAGAACCCTTTGTTTAACAATGTGGGTCCCCCTGACAGACACAGAGACCCTCAAGATTTTTCAGAATGTTATACCACCAAAAACACTGGCAGCTTGGACTGAAGAGGACAGAAATGGGATGAAATGAAAAGGCTGTCATTATTTGGGGATTCTACAAGCAAAACGTGTCCTGCTAGAGCAACTCTGGCAGAAAACAAGTGCTAACCTTCAGAAAAATGAAGAATAATTCTGAGGGAAGAATTGTCACAAAGGTCATTACAAAGTTAATTCCAGAGAGTGGAGCCAGAGAACAGACCATCAAGCCTAAAAGGATTAAGCCTAAGCCTTGAATTTACAGATCTACTCTGCGAAGATTTGGAGTTGCTTGGAACTAGTGATCCTTTACTCCTACAAATTTCTACCTGTTAATATAAAAATATCTATCTAATGCCTGTACCACTATTTCATTTTAAAAGCAGATAAATTTGTTTGTTTTCCCTGTTCACAGATGAAGAAGTATTTTGACCTAGGGTGGACCATACACATTCCCAACCAAACATGATTGAGAAGGTTTGGAAGATGAAACTTGGTACTTTAGAATTTTTCTCTTTTAGTGGAAATTTATATACATAATATATAATTTGTCATTTTTATGTGTAAAATGTTTTTGTCACCTCTCCCAAAAAACTTTGTAATTTTTAAGGAATAACCAATAGTCCCCTATTCCACAAAACCTGGTAACCTCTAATTTATTGAATGTCTCTATGAATTTGCTTACTGTAGATATTTTCTTCAAATTATAAAATAATTGGCATTTTGTTCCTGGCTTATTTCATTTAGTATACTTTTCTTGGTTTATCCTTCTTGTAGCATGTATCAGAACTTCATTCATCTTTTTGTATGTCTAAATAATTTCCCACTGTATGCATACATATATATATGTATATATATATATATATAATTTATTTATGTGCCGATGGATACTGGTTTATTTTCATCTTTTATTTGTTGTGAGTAGTACTGCAATGAATTTTGGTGTAGATTATCATTTGGTTTCACGCTTTCAATTATTTTGGGCATATACCTAGACACGGAATTGCTGGGTCATATGGTAATTTTATGTTTAGCTTTTTGAGGAAGCATCAATCTGCTTTCCACAGCTGCTGCACAATTTTATATTCCCACGAGCAATGTATAAAAGTTCCAATTTCTCCACATCTTCACAAACACTTGTTATTTTTCACTGTTGAATTTTAGTGTTCATTTAGGTTATATGAACATTTTAAAAACAGTATTTCAATCCATGAACATGGGCTTTCTATTTATTTTTGTCTTCTTCAATTTTTTTCATCAAAGTTTTAACCTTTTAAGTGTATAGGTCTTTTACTTTTTGGTTAAATTTATTTTTGAGGTTTTTTTTTCGTAGCTATTTTAACTGGAATTGTTTTTGTGATTTTTTTCTTTTTAGATAGTTTGTTGTTGATGTATAGAAATGCTACTGATTTTTCTATCTTGATTTTTTTTTATTTCTACACAGTTCACCAATTTGTTAGCTGGGACTCAGAGCCCTGTTGGAGTCTGCTGCCAGTCTGAGGTTGGTGAGCCAGGCATGGGGACTCAGGTGTGCCTGTCTCTCTCTGAGTCCCTGTACTGCCAACAGGACTGAACTCTGACCATTACTGAGAGGGGCTACAGCCAATTTTCAGAGGCTTTTCTGTTCCACAGATAACATCAAGTTGTAGATGTATAACCTGAGGCACAAATGAGTGTGACTCCTTCCAGGTCCCTGGGTGGACAGTTCCAGTACCAGGACCAAGAACAAATGAAGTTACAGCCAAGTCTATCGGGGGAAGGACCATTTCAAGTTCTGGAACTGGAGCTGCAGTCAGTGAGCTGGCCACGTAGGTGCCCTTCTGCCCTCCGAAAAGGACCCCCTAGGTCTTGGGCTGCACCAGGGTTTCACAACTTTCCAAGTTCCCATAAGGGTATTTTCGTCTGTGCATGGCTGCAAATTTACTGTTGCTGTAGGGGAATAGGAACTATTCTGCTGACATCACTCATAATATCATTTGGTGCTCAAAAGTTTTGGATAAAGTCCAATTTATCAACTTTTTGTCTTCTGTTGCTTGTACTTTTAGTGTTATGTCTAAGAATCCATAGCAAAATCCAAGATTGTGAAGATATACTCATATATTTTCTTCCAAGAGATTTATGGTTTTAATTCTTATATTTAGATTGTTGATCCATTTTGAATGCATTTTTGTACATGGTAGGAGGCAGGGGTCCAACTTCATTCTTTTGCATAGGTAAATCTGGTTGTTGTTCTAGTGGCATTGTTTAAGAGGCTATTCTTTCCCCATTGAGTAGACTTATCTTTGCAGAAAATCAACTGGCCATAAAAGTAAGGGTGTATTTCTGAACTTCCAGTTTTATTCCGTTGTTCTTTATGTCTGTCCTTTTGACAGTACTACACTGTTTTGGTTATTGTAGCTTTGGAGAAAGTTTTGAAAATGGTAAGTGTTTGCCCTCCAAATTTGATCTTTTCTCTCAAGATTATTAAGTTTATTTGGAACCCTTTGCATTTACATACAGTCTAAGCATTAGCTTTTCCATTTATGCAGAAAAATGTGTTGGAATTTTGACAGAGACGATGTCAAAGTCTGAAAGTGAGAGAATATAATTGTGTTCATATGCCAGTTTTGTAGTAATTTATTATGGCAGCCCTTGGAAACTAACTTTTTCGTAGGCAACATACCTAATACATATGATAACAAAAAAAATGGAGGTAAAAGTATAGTAAGGAAAAAGATATAATATAAAATTACTAACCAAAAGAAAGTTGGTTGAGTGTGAAAAAATTGGTTAATACATTTAAAAATTAAGATGAAATCAAGAGTTTCTAAAAAGTTATGATTTACCAAATCTAACACAAGAATAGAAAATATAAAAGACTGTATAATTTCTAAATAAATTTTACACATAATTCAATAACTTTCCAAGATAAAAAATACGTGTTTAGATAGCTTCACCAGTGAATTTTACCAAAATTTTAAGAATTATACAATTAATCTTACTTAAAAATCTTTTAGAGAAAATAAAAAACAAAGCATTTTCAAATTCATGTGGTAAATCCAGTATAATATTTTCCAGTCTATTTTGCCTGATATCAGTATAGCACACCGGATTTCTAGTCACTGATATTTGTCTGATAAATCTTTTCTATTACTTTACTTCCAATATGTCTTGAAATATGAGGTATATCTCTTGTAACAACATATAATTGAATTATTTTTTAATCCAGTCTCATCTAAGCAGTGCAGTAGGGCAAGAAAACAAAATAAATAATACAAAGATTGGAAAGAAAGAAACCAAATTGCCAGTATTCACAAATCTCATGATTTTTGAAAATCTCCAAAATATACTTAAATTAAATTACTGTAATTTAAAATGAGTTCAGCAGTGTTCCTGGATACATGTTTAACATAGAAAAATTAACTGCATTTGTGCCCAGTCATGTGTTTGTGTGCATGCAGCAATAAGAAAATAAAACTTAATCCAAGAGACCATCTAACAAAGTATCAAAAACATATCAAATTTCTAGAAATAAACCTAAAACATATATACAAGTCCTTTATATAAAATAAGTACAAAGCATCTTTGAGACCAAATAAGACCTATATAAAGACTAAAGTATTTCTGTGTATTTAAAGAGTCAATATTACAAAGATATCACTTCTTCTCAAACTGATTAAATTGGTTGTAAAATTATAACCCGACAGATGTAATTTTTGGAATATGACAACATTGTACAATCTATATGGAAACCCACAGGACCAAAATTAGCAAAAGCATTTGTGAACTAGTTGGAAAAACTTTTTCAGTCAGACAACAGTAATATAAATAATAAGAGTAACCAGAAAAGAAAATAAGGCAAAATAAACTGCAGTAAGATGAAAACACATACACACATATCAAAATTCACCATTTGAATTGGGGAAAAATTCATAAACTGTAGAAGTTTATAAATGTTAGTCAAAAACTTGCATTCAAATATATGTAAATTATTATTACAAATAAACGAATAATAGTTCAATAAAAAGTGTAGGAGTAACTTGAATTTTACAGAAGAATATTTCCAATTGTCCTATAAAAACATGCTCAACCTCATTAATAATCAGGAAAATGGAAATTTAAATCCCATCTTATTGAGTTCAAGCTACTATAGGAAATTACCATATACTGAGTGACTTACACAAAAATATTAATTTCTTACAGTCTGGAGGCTGCAAAGTTTGATAGCAGAGTGCCAGCATGGTCAGGTTCCAGTGTGGATCCACTTAGATTGTAGATGTCTGTCTTCTGGCTGTGTCCTCACAGGCAGTGTACAGAGAGAGAAGCAAGTTCTCTCCTGTGTCATCTTATAAAGGCACTAATCCCATTATCGAGGCTCTACTTTCATGACCCAATTACCTTTCAAAAGCCCCATTTCCAAATACCATCACATTGGAAATTAAGGTTTCAAAATATGCATTTGGGGAGGCTCAACCCCAATAATATCCAACTGAACGCTGAACAAATGACCATAATTTTAAAAACTTTGATATTTTCATGTGGTGGAGATGATATTAAGCAAACGAATGCTCATAAACTTTTGATGGAATGTGAAATGGTACCACCACATGACTAGGGGAGCAGTAAATTTATTCCTAAGTCTAGTCCTGCCTAATGTGTGCATATTGACAATGAAAACAAACATCTTAGAAACAACAAAAATAATATCTGTCATTAGTAAAATGAATAAATCAATTGTGGCAAATTTAAGTAGGAAACACTATTTATCAGCAAAAATAAATAAAGTACAGCTACACATGTCAACCTTACAATGATGAAGTTAATGAAGCCAGATACAAATATATATAGAGAGAGAGTATGTATATATATACATACACACACTATACTCTATTATGCTATTTATGCAAAGTTTATAAAGCAGGCATTGCCATTGATATGGAAGTGCTGGGAAGGGAAGGTCTTGGTCCCTTTAAATGATATAAAAAGGGGAAAGGGAAGTGTGTGGTCCCTAGCTAGGGCCCCATCCCGACAGACCTAGGTGAGGAAAGGCATTTCCTCCCAAAATGTATACAGGAAACACTATTTATCAACAAAAATAAATAAAGTACATCTATATACAATTACACAGGTCAACCTAATAGCTATAAAGTTAATAAAGAAGCCAGATACAAATATATATATATATACTCTATTATTCTATTTATGCAAAGCTTATAAAACAGACATTACTAAAGTGTTTGGCAGACATGATTAGTTGGTATACCTAAAAAAACAAATCAAGGTGATGATTACAATAAAAGTAGAAAAGTGGTAAACTCTGGAACATGGAGAGGCTTTGTGTTATAGCCAAGGAGATGGGAGATCAGTCTCAAATTCATCTCCCGGACTAACTAAAATCAGAGGTTTATATAGCAAAGAAGAAACATGGTTATATACAGGAAAACAGGAATTAGGGAGAAGTAAGGAAGATGAGTTGGCCAACAGGAACCAGGTAATCTCTTAGGCAATCATGACAGATGAGGTTTCAGTTCCTTGTTACTCTTTGGGAGGACTGATGGTTGCTTTCCTGCTGAAGGAACTCAGATAAGACAAATGTGACTTTCTTAAGTTTTAACACTTGGAGGGTCAATTTCTGTGTTTATTGAAAGGAAACTCTAAATATTAATTCTGTGGAACAATTGGGCCAGTTTTAACCATACTCTACTTAGACCTGCATCACTGATATTGAAAATTTGATTTGTAGTAAATAATCTTTGTATACTTTTTTAATGTGATTCTTAATTTGTGATTTATTCATTTATATGTGATGTATTACACAACTTAAAAAACTGTTAAATAAAAATTCAAATGTATGGGATCACCTTTCTTCTCCTTGGATCCGATAAACCAGTTTTTTACCTTTTCAGTTTGTAACTATTTAAATAAAGGGCACTTCATAAGTTTTTTGCCCCAATTTATTTTTATTATTATACTTTAAGTTCTGGGGTATGTGTGCAGAACGTGCAGTTTTGTTACAAAGGTATACACTTGCCATGGTGGTTTGCTGCACCCATCAACCCGTCACCTCCATTAGGTATTTCACCTAATGCTATCCCTCCCCCAGCCCCCCACCCCCTGACAGGCGCTGGTGTGTGATGTTCTCCTCCCCGTGTCCATGTGTTCTCATTGTTCAACTCCCACTTATGAGTGAGAACATGCAGTGTTTGGTTTTCTGTTCTTGTGATAGTTTGCTGAGAATGATGTTTTCCAGCTTCATCCATGTCCATGCAAAAGACATGAACTCATCCTTTTTTATGGATGCATAGTATTCCATGGTGTATATGTGCAAATTTTCTTTATCCAGTCTATCATTGATGGACATTTGGGTTGGTTCCAAGTCTTTGCTCTTGAAAACAGTGCTCCAATAAATATACGGGTGCATGTGTCTCTATAGTAGAATGACTTATTATCCTTTGGGTATACACCCAGTAATGGGATTGCTGGGTCAAATGGTATTTCTATTTCTAGATCCTTGAGGAATTGCCACACTGTCCTCCACAATGGTTGAACTAATTTACATTCCCACCAACAGTGTAAAAGCGTTCCGTTCCTATTTCTCCACATCCTCTCTAGCATTTGTTTTTTCCTGACTTTTTGATGGTCCAGTCTAACTGGTGTGATATGGTATCTCATTGTGGTTTTGATTTGCATTTCCCTAATGACCAGTGATGATGAGCATTTTTTCATATGTTTGTTGGCTGCATAAAGGTCTTCTTTTGAGAAGAATCTGTTCATATCCTTTGCCCATTTTTGATGGGGTTGTTTGTTTTTTTCTTGTAAATTTGTTTAAGTTCTTTATAGATTCTGGATATTAGCCCTTTGTGCAATGGATAGATTGCAAAAATTTTCTCCCATTCTGTAGGTTGCCTGTTTACTCTGATGATAGTTTCTTTTGCAGTGTAGAAGCTCTTTGGTTTAATTAAATTCCATTTGTCTACTTTGGCTTTTGTTGCCATTGCTTTTGGTGTTTTAGACATGAAGTCTTTGCCCATGTCTATGTCCTGAATTGTATTGTCCACGTTTTCTTCTAGGATTTTTATGGTTTTAGGTCTTAAGTTTAAGTCTTTAATCCATCTTGAGTTGATTTTTCTATAAGGTCTAAGGAAGGGGTCCAGTTTCAGTTTTCTGCATACAGCTAGCCAGTATTCCCAACACTATTTATTAAATAGGGAATCCTTTCCCCAGTACTTTTTTGTGTCAGGTTTGTCAAAGATCAGATGGTTGTAGATGTGTGGTGTTATTTCTGAGGCCTATGTTCTGTTCCATTGGTCTGTATGTCTGTTTTTGTACCAGTACCATGCTGTTTTGGTGACTGTAGCCTTGCAGTGTAGTTTGAAGTCAGGTAGCATGATGCTTCCAGCTTTGTTCTTTTTGCTTCAGATTTTCTTGGCTATGCAGGCTCTTTTTTAGTTCCATGTGAAGTTTAAAGTACTTTTTTCCAGTTCTGTGAAGAAATTCGGTGGTAGCTTGATGAGGATAGCATTGAATCTATAAATTAATTTGGGCACTATGTCCATTTTCACCATATTGATTCTTCCTATCCATAAGCATCGTATGTTTTTCCATTTGTTTGTGTCTGCTCTTATTTCCTTGAGCATGGTTTGTAGTTCTCCTTGAAGAGGTCCTTCACATCCCTTGTAAGTTTTATTCCTAGGTATTCTATTCTCTTAGTAGCAATTGTGAATGGGAGTTCACTCATGATTTGGCTCTCTGTTTGTCTGTTATTGGTGTATAGGAATGCTTGTGATTTTTGCACATTGATTTTGTATCCTGAGACTTTTCATTTTAAGTCAGAAAACCTGTATCACTGTGTTCCTCTTTACTGATTCTGGTGTTCTAGTTGATGTCATAAAATTATTCCACTTTAATTTGCATACACTTGGTGAATGAACACACACTGAATGCTATGGGTTGAATGTGTCCTCCAAAGTTCATGTTCTGAAAACTTAATCTTCAATACAACAGTGTTGAGAGGTAGAAAGTTTAAGAGGTGATTAGGTCATGGATGTTCATCACTGATGAATGGATTAACATTATTATTTTGAGTGTGGGTTCACTCATGAGAGTAAGGGTGGCTTTTTAATAAAAGTGAGTTTGGTTCTCTCTTACTCTCTCTTGCCATGCAATACCTTTTGCCGTGTTGTGACCTAGCAATAAGGCCTTCACCAGATGCAACCCCCAGATCTTGGACTTCTCAGTCTCCAGAACCATGGGCCAATAAATTTCTGTCGATTATAAATTACCCAGTCTCAGATATTCTGATATAACAGCAGAAAATGAATAATACACTAAAATAATAAGTTACATTTTTATTTTCTGAAGAGTATCTTCAAACAATTATTTGGACAGAGAAGAAAACACTATGGTCTTGAACGAAATAGGAAAGTCCAATGTACATTATTTTTTTTTTTTTTTGAAAGAGAGAGAAAAAAAGAGAGATCAAAAAGGACAAGAAGGAGTAGTATTTATTGAGCTCAAGCCATGTTACATCCACTGTGCTTGGCACGGTATGTCCACTTGTCCATTAACTCTTATATGACTTGCTATATTATCATGAGGCAGACAGTAGTATTATCTTCAGTTTAAAACAAGGATAATTAGGAATATTAAATTCTTATATCTGAAATTTCACACTTAGGAGTTCTAAGGTGGTTTAAATCTTACTGGCCTGAAGTCAAAGCACAAAAATGGCAACCAATGTATTATTAATAAAGTCTATACTATTGATTTTCTGTAGCTTAATATAAATAAAAATATATACTGCACCAAATGAAGGTTCAGCAATGTTATTTTTTTTGAACTCCTGGTTCCTATAGTTTTTATTATGTTTCACTGTGGAACTTTTGTTGATAAATCCAGCACTATTTGATACATGACCAGACTTTCCTTTGCAAATTTACTCCTGTTCAAAACAGCCAAAGGTTCAGTACCACACAATTAAGCGTTTCTTTCAGAATCTGTCATTTGTTTGTTTTTCTCATTCTTAGTTTTCTCAAATGCACAGCTTAAAGCTAGATAATTAAACTGTTTTAAAACTGAAAATTACTTTAAATGTTATTATAGGACTCTGCATATTAAAAACATAAGCATAATTTTACTTTAAAGCATTATTTCTCTATTTAAGTATTTAAAAAAAAAAAGTAAGACAATGAGTAGATCAATTAAACCTAGCCAGTTCAGATAAGTTTTCATAAAACTTCATATATTGGTATTTGTAGGTACAAACAGAGAATTCTTAAAGCATTATTTCTCTATTTAAGTATTTAAAAAAAAAAAGTAAGACAATGAGTAGATCAATTAAACCTAGCCAGTTCAGATAAGTTTTCATAAAACTTCATATATTGGTATTTGTAGGTACAAACAGAGAATTCATAAAGCATTATTTCTCTATTTAAGTATTTAAAAAAAAAAAGTAAGACAATGAGTAGATCAATTAAACCTAGCCAGTTCAGATAAGTTTTCATAAAACTTCATATATTGGTATTTGTAGGTACAAACAGAGAATTCACCATATTGTTTACAGAGCCCTGGCTTTAGAAACATGATACTTGAGGAGTCATATTTCCACTCAGTACTCATTAGTTCTGTGCATTGGGCAGGCCCATTACATTTTGTACGTGTGTACTATCAGTTGTAAAATGAAGATAACAATACAGTTCTAATTCACAAAATTGTTGCAAAAATAAGGTAGAAGAAAGTATATGAACAAAATTTTAGTGATGGTAACACATGATATATATTGTTATTTTTATTCCTATAATTTCCCTAGTTTCAAAAAAAACCTATTTCGAATGTAGCTTTAAGTTTACTCCTTGATATACTTAAAAAAAACTTACAAGCATCTTTTATGAATTAAAAAAATTGAATAAATAGGTACTCCCACAAACAAGATATCTATACAAGTGAATTAAGAGGGTTGCTAGACAACACCTTGCTGTAAGAAACACTTTTAAAGGAATTCTAAGCCTTAATGGTTCTCAAGAGACCAGTTGCACAAAGCAATTATTGATATACAGGAGAGAATATGACTGGGAAAATTTAGTGTTCAAAATCACTAACAGAAGTAAAAGTAACAACTACAAGAGTCTTCCTGAAGAGCGCTGAGTAGAAGAAAATGTAGTGCAATCTCTCAAAAAGCCATCTTTTTAGAGACAGAAATAAAAGTTATTGTTCCCCTGCTATTCTATTATCAGATGAAGTTTTGGTCCTTTGAAGTGTGAGTAAATTTATTTGTTTAGAGCCTCTCATCTAATTCTTCTAACACTTATCAACTTTCCACTTTTCAATATATTCTCTTTGCTCCAGAAAAAAAAGAGGTTCTGAGTCTCTTCTGTCATGCACTCATCTTTTCCCTTCTTTATTCGAAAAATGAATGACTTCTTACACTAATGTTTTATGTGTAAAGTTTTACATGTCAAGAAAAAGTCTTACTTTTCCAAGTCCAAGACTGATATAAAATGCAATCTCAATGTCTTCCCTGCCTTCTTTTGTCTCTGTAAAAATTAGCAATATTCTTCCCTCCCCTAGCTTTGTTTTTCAACTAAGGCAGGTAAATCTGCTTATAGATCAGCTTCTAACCCAAGCATGCTTACTTTGGAATCTTCCCATAAAAGTGAATCAGATCGTTTTTGGAATAAGTTGAATTCGTCAATTATTGCAGGGAGTATACTATTTTTTTCCTATTCATTGCCTTTGTTTTCCTTTAATCTTTGCTTTAGCTGGGATGTTTCATAGTTAATAGAAGTGGGAAAATATAGTGTTTTCTAAATATGTACATATCTCTATATTTTAACCAGAATGAAGAGAAGATTGAATTCAATAGTATAGCCTGGTTCTTTCTTTAAACAATTTTAAGGTCAAATGGTTCTCTTCATACTACCCTGATCAGGTGTCACCTCATTTAATTTTCAGGCAATTCACAGGGACTAGCATTCTGAGCAACAAATATGACCAGGGATTCTACATAACTCATTTAATCCTAAAAATTATATTGTTCTAATTTTATTCTTAAAAAAACTAGATTCAGTAATTCTGAAAAGATCAAATCATCATGATTAAGTAGAAGAACCTGAAGTACAATCTCAGCCTATTTGATTTTAAAATAAACATCCTTTCCAATCATCATGTTGTCTCGGATAAGTTGAAAATCTCTCAGTGTATCGCTACATAATCTTAAACTGTAAATTTTTGTAGCTGAAATGGTGAGTAAAATAAAGCAAAATAAATCATTAAATTATATAAATTTGCATGTTTAAATATAAAACAGTAGATTGAAGACTGACATTTAGTAATTCTGCTGTATTAGATTACATATATTAAATTATTTTATAAGTAAATTCAATGTTTTTGTGACTTAAACTTTTAATTAACACTTATATTAACAAAAAAGGAGCATACTAGGGAGATTCTAATTTGAACTGATGTGTTATCTTTCCTATGAAATATTTTAAAAGTCTCCTCATTAATTATTATTCCTCTGTGCCTCCTGTCGCTATCAAAAGAGTCTAAGTCTCCAAGAAATCTCTCACCACTAGAACTCATCCTCATAAAATTCTGTTCATTTCTTAAAGCGACCTAATCTTTCATTCTTTCCTTATCTCTCAAACATTTTCACTAGGTCCCTTTGTAACACCTTCTTTCATCAGTAACCCTACTCCCCTATTCTACTTCAAACTATTCTCTGAAGTCTCCTGTTTTGACTCGTATGTTGTTGAAGATGTGATAGCCAAAGGAGCCTTTAAAGTGGGAGCTGTAGTTGTTGTTTATTTCCTTCCAATAATCTATGTATTGCAAGGCATAAAGATAGCATATTTATGTATCTCATTTCAGCTCCTAGACTACTTGTTATCTCTCAAACACCAAGGATTTCTTCAAGTTGGTGCCGTTAGACTTCATTATCTATAAGCTCTCTTTGATACTGGCATCTATTAACATTTCTCATTCCTTCTCATTCTTAAATTCTCCTCATTCTTTCACCTAGTTTACCATCCTTCCCTTATGTCACTATTATTATCATTATTCTTAACAAAATCAAAATTTATATTGATGATCTACTCAATTACCTGGACTTTTAGATCATTGGCATCTGCATTTCAAATAATGTATTTCTTAATTCCACTTTATTTACTATATTCTATCACTTCAACGAATTAAAGGAAAAACATGATAATTTCATTAAAAGGACAAAAATATATTCAAAAAAGTTTAACTCTCCACTTATAAAAATTATACTCTTCGATTAGAAATATAGAATAACTTTCATAATTAGATAAAGAACATTAACCAGATGCTCATAGTCAGCATAATATCTACTAATTTAACTAAGAACAAATATATGGATAAAGATGAAAAAATATATATAAAATAAATAAATAAAAATAAATAGTAAAACAAAGGTGATCACATTTAGTGCTTCTCATAAGAATTGTCCTAAAGATTTAGACCAATGATTTTAAAAAAGAATGAAAATTTATAAACATTAGGAAAGAAGACATGTCTAGTTTTTTTCCAGAGATGATATAGAGTGCAAAATGTTGTTGCTGTATATAACACCAATATACCAAAAATGAATAGAAATTTTATAATTCAAATTATAAATCAAAGAAAATGATTAATGATGCATTTATAAGGTAAACTAATCATTTAAGATAAAATGGCAGGATCATAAAATAGTTACAAATCCATGTACTTGATATATTTAAAATTATTGAACAAACATAGAGAAAAAATTAAATAGAAATATAACGTATCCACAAATTACTCAATAAAATGAGAATACATGAAACAAAAGTATTCAGAATAAATAATGGAATAAAAAACTAAAACCATGGGGAGATGTGAGGAAGAGAGGTTAAAAAGTTTAAGGAAGACTGGACAGTCAAACATATACATAATTAGAAATCCAGATGACAAATAAAGAAAAATGGATAGAAGCCATATAAAATGATATAATAACAATGTATTTCTAAAATAAACGAAGTGCTTCCTAAGGTTTAAGAAAAACAATGAACTCAAAGCAGAATATATAGAAAGAAATCCATGTCCCAATTAAGCTGGAGAAAACCAATGAAAATTTGAAAATAGTAAAAGAGCCCAGAGGATAAACAAGCAAAGAAAACACGGATGAATTTCAAAGAAGCAGCAGTAATCCTGAAAGCTGGCCTATGGAAGCTATAGGATAATCTCATGATACATTCAATGTGATTTGTTTTTGCTAAGATTGGGAGTGAATAGCATTCTAGCTATTTACATCTTTAGCAGAAACCATAAGCCTCTGGAAATTTAATTTAATATTAAAATATCATTATAAATTCTTTGCCATATTAACAGAGTACAGAAGAAATAAAATGATCATCTTAGTAGATACAAAATAAGTCATTTACAAAATTCAACCTGTATTTGTTATAAAAACTGTTAACAAACTTGGAATAAAAGAAGACTTCCTGAATTAAATTGTATAATAATATACCTACTGAAAATGTATAATTGTTGATAAAAATAATTAAAATCTTTCTTCTTTTTTTCTTCTTTTTTATTTTGACAGACTCTTGCTCTGTTGCCCAGGATGGAATGCAGTGGGACAATCATGGCTCACTACAGCCTCAACATTCCAGGCTCAATAGATCCTCCCACCTCAGTCTCCAGAGTACTTGGGACTACAAGTGTGAACCACAACACTCAGCTAATTTTTAAATTTTTGTACAGATGGGGCTCCACTATGTTGTCCAAGCTGGTCACAAACTCCTAGGCTCAAGCAGTCCTCCCACCTTAGCCACTGAAAGTGCTGGGATTACAGGCACGAGCCGCTGGGATTTCAGGCATGAACCACTGTGCCTGGCCAGCTTTTTCTTTAAGACTGAAAAAAAGATGTGTGTCATATTATCACTTCTATTCAATATTGTATTAGAGGTCTTATCCAAGGAAATAAAGAATGATAATTCTTACAGATTGTGTTTATCTGTTTGCATTACTATAAAGGAATACCTGAGACTGGATAATTTATAAAGAAAAAGTTTTAATTAACTCACTGGTCTGTATGATGTACAGAAAGTATGGCACTGGCATCTATTTCTGGTGAGGGCCTCAGGAATCTTATAATCATGGTGGAAAGTGAAGGGAGAGCAGGTGTCCCACACGGTGAAAGAAGGAACAAGGCAAGGGGAGGTCCCATACTTTTAAACAACCAGATCTTGCATGAACTCAGTGAGAACTCACTTATCATCAAGAGCATGGTGCTAAACCACGAGGCATCCACCCCTGTAATCCAATCACCTCCCACCAGACCCACTTCCAACTTTGGGAATCACATCTCAACATGAGAGTTGAAGGGGACAAAATCCATACAATATCACAGATATTAGAAGGAATAAAACTTTCAGTTATAATATGCAAATTTCACAAATTATATACTTACGTTTAAAAATCCCGAGTATTTACAAATAAAATATTAGATTCATGTCAAAATTTAGCTATGTTGCAGGATTTTAGATCTCTATTAGATATGAGTTATTATTTACATATAGTAGTAATAGTTGGAAATTAAAAACAAAACTACTTAAAATAGCATCAAAATATTTTGTGCCTCTGAATAAATCTAAGAAAATATGCGCAAGGCATAGAAGAAGAAAACTATATAACTACTTAAAGATACTCCAGAAAACCAACATAAATGGGGAAATATACCATGTTCATGAATTTAAAAACTCAAGATGTCAATTTACAAAAAATGAAAATACAGGTACATTGCAATCTCTGTGAAATCTCTATAGGGTTTTGGAGGGTGGATGAAGAGACTTGATATGCTGATTTTATAATTTTTATAGGAATACAATGTTTTTAGTCTAGCCCAGATGTTCTGAAAGAACATATATTAAGAAAACTTTACCAGATGGAAATATTTATTACATACCTAACGTTACTACTTTAAATATTAGGTAATTACATACCTAGTATAGGTATTACATACCTAAAGTAGTAACTTTAGTAATAAATAAAGTTACTACTTAAGGTATGTAATAAATCAAAGTAAACCCACAATTAGATACCATTAAAGTAGTATAGGGTTATACTACTTTAAGGTTAGACAAAACTGAGAGTTGGCAACATTTGGCTCACAGGCAAGGCACCCCTTTTTTAAAAGTAAAGCTTTATTGGAACATAGCCATGTCCATTCATTTATGTCTTGTCTGTGGCTGCTTCTATACTACACCAGGTTGCAACAAAGACTGTATGGCCCACAGTGTAAAATCTTTGCTATCTGACCTATTAAGAAGGGTCAAGAACAATTAAGATGTTCCTTGCACAAGAATAATAAAGCAAACTAAAAAGCCAGTATCATGTACATATAAAATGTTGATATATGAAAAAGAAAGAACTGCAGAGCAGTTAGGAAAGGTCGGAAATCAAGGACCACTACTTCACACTAGTAACACATAGATACACACACACAGACACACAGACACACACACACACAGCAATTCTGCACAGCTCATATAATCAATAAAACTCCCTCTATTTGTTAAAAAAAAAAGTAGGTAAACTTGACCACATTAAGAGTATGAATTTCAGCAATATTTTTAAGAAGTGAAAAATGAGCTATATAGTGGGAAAGGTATTTTCAATACACATAACTGCTAAAGGCAATACATTTATAATATTTTTGAGTTAAAATATATTAGAAATAGATAACAGGGACATTTGCAGGAAAGAAATAATAAAAGGAAGAAAAAAGAAAGGAGAAAAGGATGGAGGAAGGGAAAAAGGGAATGAGGAAGATAGAAAAGTAGGAACACATAAAGATTGTATCAGAAAAGAGGACACACACACATATGTATAGCCAAATGTTAAAAAAGATAAGCATAATTAGTAATTTATGAATGCAAAGTAAACCCACAATTAGACTGTATTAGTCCGTTCTCATGCTGCTGTGAAGAAATACCTGAGACCGGGTAATTTATAAAGAGAAGAGGTTTGACTCACAGTTGCGCATGGTTGGGGAGACCTCAGGAAACTTATAATCATGGTGGAAGGCAACTCTTCACAGGGTGGCAAGAGAGAATATGAGAGCCAAGAAAAGGCGGAAGCCCCTTATAACCATTGGATCTTCTGAGAACTTACTCACTCTCACGACAATAGCATGCGGGAAACCGCCCCCATGATTCAATTACCTTGCACCAGGTCCCTCCCATGACAGGAGGGGATTATGGGAACCACAATTCAAGATGAGATTTGGGTAGAGACACAACCAAACTATATAATAGATACCACTAAAAATTAAAATTTAAACAAATATAAAATCTGACAATACGAAGATGGAAAAGATTTGGAGCAACCAGAACTTATAGTGACAGTGAAAATATAAATAAGCCAGAAGAGTTATAGTTTGGCTTTGAAAGCCAAAACAAACATCAGCAGAAAACACACAAAGGGTGTTATTTTATACAACTGAAAATTCATATACTCTCAGATTCAGCAATTCTACCCTAAACATCTATTCTGCAGAGCCATGCTTATTTTCACCAAGATATATTTACAAGTATGTTTATGGTAAATAAAACTAAATCAAACCCAAAATAAGATCAAGAATAAAATGAAAAAATAATAATGCATTCATACAAGAAAATATCCAACCACAAAAAAGACAAAAACTATATTTACAAAAAAATCTTGGGTAAATTTTTTAAATGTTATGCTGAGTATAAGAAGAGAGAAAAAAATTAATACTAACTGAATATTTTAATTCTTATAAAATAAAAATCAGGAAAAACAAAAGTACAGAGAGGTTATGTGGATGCTTGCTTTGCAAATTGGTAATGCTACATGGGTACATTTTATACACACTCAGTGGACAATATGTAAAAATTTTAAAAGTTTAAAAACTAAAACAACATTTTCAGGAGAAAAAAATGGCAAAAGACATCACAGGCAATTTACTAAAGAGGAAATCAGACGACAAACATATGAAAGGATACTACAACATCGCTAATAGAGAAATTCAAATTAGAACTAGAATTAGCTGCACGCCTGTCTGAGATGCAAGATTTAAAGTCTGATAACTTATTTGTTTTACTAGTGCTGAACATAACATGTGGAAAATATGTCATTTATACTGGTCTTCATAATGTAATTTGATAAAACTATTTTGGAGATCAATTTGATTTGAAAGTTTTGAGACTGTGCATACTTTGGAATTCAGTAATTCCACTTCAAAAAAATCTACCCTCAGAAAATATTTGTTATAGATGGACAAGAAGACAAGCATATGAATGTTTACTGTAGCATTCTTAACCATGTGAGAAGATATGCAAACAATGCAACCATCTATCAGCAGTCGTATGGAATAATAAATTCACAAGTATCTATTCAGCAGAAGAGTATTTCAATCTAAAATCAATAAACCAACTCTATGTATACTGCTATAAATTCATTTCAAAAACATAATGTGGAATAAGAATGACTGCAAAATATTTACAATATGATAGGCAAACACATTCCTTCTAATAGTATGGGTGGGAGTTTAAATGAAGAGTTACAGATGAGTAGGTTGCTTTATTTTACCAATGAATTAAGAGAATTTCTCAACTCAAAATAAGGAGAAGACAACATTCAGGGCTTGTTAATATAAGAATAGGAATGAAATAGTCCTTTTGGAAAGTGGAAGAGAGAATTTTTTCAGGGAACTGTAGCATTTTTGCCAGGTGATGCTGAGTTTCCCCTTGAAATGTATGGTAACAATTTAAATGGAGTCCAGTCAAGAGACATAAAGTTTTTCAACAGCCTTGTTTAGCTGCTAGTGTTAGAATACAGAGAAGGTACAAATGTTGCATAGTTGGGGTTTCTCATGACATGTTATTCTTGTATTATTTTTGGGTAAGTCCTTTTGGTCATTATAGATGTGTGTGTGTGTGTGTGTGTGTGTGTGTGTGTAGTATTTTGCATTTTTCCGGTTTATAACATTCAATGTAGAATTTTTTTCATATAAGTTAGTAACTAATTTGTTTTTCTATTTTATACTATCTGCTTTTGGCATTGCAGTAGTGCCAACGGTTGAATTTTTAAAACAGACTCAGGTAAGTAGTCATACAGGTAGAGAACCTACCTGTATGTATCAGCCATTGTTCATTCAGCTGAGTCGCATAAGTCCATACATTCCAGGTTTATTTGCAATAACATATCTAAACATACAAAGCACATCCTTACATAACAATTTCCTAGGTCATGTGATTGCCAAAAAATTGCATTGGAGTGTTATCAAGAAGGTTAGGAAGAGGTGGAAAATGCCATTAACTCTTCACTTCCAAGCATCACCGTTGTATTACTGTCATAAAAGTAATGGGATAGTATTACAACAGGTTTTTTTCTTTTTGTTTTTTATGACATATTATAAGAAGTACTGTTGCTTGAAAGTTTGGTAAAACACATTTAAATATATCTGGGACTAATGATTTTTTTCTCACTTCACCCTAACTCAGTCATTTTGTTTTTGTTATTTTTTTCACTACTGATTTATTTTTACTTTAAAGTTGTATGTATGTTTTCTAATTTTTCTTGAGTCTTACATTCACAGATTAGTAGAAAATTGTAAATTCCATGATTTATACAGTGTTCTCTCCCATACTTCTTAGTTCTGAACAAACACATTCTGTCCAATTATGAGAATGAAATCCTAGACCCCTTGAAGTGGAGCACATATAAGTGTCAAAATCCTTATTGGGTAGTATAGTGTCAGTTTTTGCTTATTCTGATTTTCCTTGTGTTTCCATTTATTTCTGGCATCTTGACGGTTTTGTTTTTTTTTTTTCTTGCAAGCTCAGTGCCACATTAGTACTTTTTGGAGAGTTATATTAATTCAGCCTGTGCTTTTGTAATAGAAAAGCACTTAACTTTCCTCACTTAACTTCCTGGACACAATTCACTTCTAGTGATTCGCCTACCTCACTGACCACTTCTTCGTGATTCTCTTTATTGATTACTTTTCCTTACTCCTTCCCCTTTCTATATATCAAGCTTCTAAATAAAACTCAGTTCCGTGCTTTACATAGCATGTTTCCTGATTTTTTTTCTCAATTTTTTCTCAGGTTCTGTCCTGCACCTCCTGCAGTCACCAGACTCTATATTCACCTTTTTACTTGCCATCTGGCCTCTTTTATTAAGAGCCGTATTAAACTGACACATCCTAAACAACCTTTTTTGGTTCTACCTGTCCCAGTCTGCTACTATCAAATGGCAGTACCATTCACTCAGTTGCCCAGGACAAAAACCTAAGGGAGACATATTTTACTTCTTTCCTATTTTTCCTGTATCCTCTGAAAACTTAACTTCAGAACATTTCTTAGGGTAATTTTGCTTCTTCTTCATCTCTCCTCTATACCCTTACCTCACTTCCCTTCGCTCATTACCTTCCAGTCACACTGGCATTTTTAGGTTTTCTAACAAGACAATCACAGTCCTCTGCTTAGCACCCACTGCCCTTTAACACCTTCATAAATCTGGCTATATCTGATTATTTAACTCTCTATTCTAACAACCACATCTGACTGCCCTATGTCAAATACTCCTCCACATATTCTATTATGTTGATGACTTTAAATAATAGAGGCTACATTATATTATTTGCTTTTATTATTATTTTTCTTTTTGTTTCTTTTACTTTAAGTTCTGGGATACATGCGCAGAATGTGCAGGTCTGTTACATAGGTGTATATGTGTCATGGTGGTTTGCTGCACCTATCAACTCTTCACCCAGGTTTTAAGCCCTGCATGCATTAGGTATTTGTCCTAATATTCTCCTTCCCCTTGCCCCCCACCCCTCGACAGGCCCCGGTGTGTGATGTTCCCCTCCCTATGTCCATGTGTTCTCATCGTTCAACTCTCACTTATGAGTGAGAACATGTGGTGTTTGCTTTTCTTTTTTATCCTATTACTTTTAAATTATTTTTCCCCTTAGTGAAACCAGCCTCATTGTCTGACGTGTCACCTGAAGTTCTTGGTCTCACAGCCAAGGACACTAAGGACAAGGACACTCCAAACATGAGGATAGAGCAGTTTAATAAGCGAAAGGAAGAAGGCTCTCTGGAGCAGAGAGGGGTCCCAGAAAGATGGGCTGCTATTTTACAGTGACATGCAAGGGCATTTATAGACAAGCTGAAGGGGAGTGGCGCTTCATTTGCATAAGGCACAAATTTCTGAGTTCCCACCTCCACCCTTTCTGGTGCCCATGCGGGCTTCTTAGCCTGAATTACTCCATGTTGTTTACCTCTTCTTGCTGCACATGTGTAAAAAAGGCGGGGGGCAGAACACTCCAAGGTGGATGTGCCTGGTTCAGGGTAGCTCTTCTTATCAGTGCTGCTGCAGGCACTCCCCCTGCACAAGCCTCCTTGTCTGAGTATTTCCAAGAAGGGAGGGGACTGTGCTTACTGGAGCCCACTGTATATCTGTATGTCACACAGGAGGCCCCTTTCTGTGTTAGAGCTTGCCTTCGCTATCTGTGTTTGCAGCCTAATATCTAAGGCTGCTCTTTGCTGAAGGAGAAATGACCTCTTGGGCTGCTTTTTGTCAGAAGAGAGGCTGTTTTTTGTTAGAAAAGAATTTTACTGTAACTATCTGCCTAGTTGATTTCTCTCTCTCTCCTCTCACATTCCCCCTTCAGGAGGGGAGACCCTGACTTCTGTTAGGGAGTTTGGGCAATGACTCATCTAGCTACTTCCTGCTGGAGAGGATCGCTGAGTGGGGAAACAGCAGCTAGGGTTCCTCCTGAGGTCGATCTAGAGGTCCTAGGTAGGATGGAGTGTCCACGTGTGGCTCCATTTGTAACACCATTTAGAGTCTGATAGCTTCTAGCCAAGGAGAGATGAATCTGGTTAGAAGGTTTAACAAACATGGTCCAAAAATTAAAACTAGTACAATCATTAATAGCGGGCCTGACAAAAAAAGGAGCCATGATCCTCAATTCAGCCATTTAGACCAAGAGCCCCATGACTCAGACTGCCGTTGTCATATCTTAGAGGCCCAGTCTGCTAATTTTTGGGTGGCAACCCTTACTATCCCTGATTGGTTGAAACAGTATTGTTACTCTAGAAAGAGGCATAGGCCACCCTTTTCAGCAGTTAGGAGGTCTAGTCCCTTCCTGTTTTATAGAGTGACTGCTGCCATGAAATCTATTTGATTTTGTATAGCATTAATGGTTCAGGCAATGTCCTTTACACTTTCTGTAAAATCTTTGGACAAGTCTTGATAGTAGGGTAGAGAGGTTGCAAATCCTCCAACTCCTGTCCCTACACTTGCTGCGATTCCTAATCCTACCAAAAGGGGTATGAACTGGATAGCTTGTTTATGCTAAGGGATTGGTTGTTGGGGGCTATATTAATTTCAGGAGCTAGGTAAACAAGCATACAGTTTCCAGTCCAGTTGGCTGGTAAACATAAGTAGGAGTTGGTTCTGCACAGAAAGAAGACTCTCTTGTTTTTCAAGGCAGAAATTATTTTCTGTGGAGAATATATAGGTTAGTTTGCAATTTTAATTTTCCAAGGTGGTTAGGGTTCCTGCCAAGGTGGCCCCAGTTAAAGGTTGGAAAGGACCCTGGGAAATATCCTGTTTTACCCCAACAGTTTTGTTTTCCCAGTGTAGGTAGTTGCATTTGATATCCACCAGCAGCCACTCAGAAGTTTCTTCATACTGGGGAACTAACAGGCACTAAGATACCTCAGCGGTTGTACAATCTTCCCAAGGGAAAATGTGAACACAACTAGTGAGTCTATTTATACAATACCCAGATTGCACACCCCTCAAAGTCCCCTTATTTATGGATGGTCTCCCTGAGGATTGTACAGGTCTTCTAAATGGTGCCGTTTGGGAAAACATGTAGTTTACATGATCATGCGAGGGGTTAATCTCTAGGGTTTAGTTGCTTTGATGTCCTCTTAAGGTCCCCAGGTCCTGACAAAAATGTTGGCTTCTCATAATACAAAGTGGTGCTTGAAACTTTATTTCTGTGTATGTTGATATTGGGCCCCAAATGGGTTTTGGGGGGGATACAACCCTAGAAACTTTACCTTGATAGGACTGGAGAAGGTTTACTGCTTGACCTGTTAGTGTGACCCTTGTCATCTCATTAATCTGAAAGTTATACAAATTATTCAAGTTCATTACCATAAAGGGGACTTCCCCCTTGTATTTGGGGTAATAGGTCATCTTATTAAGTGCACAATATCTGGCTGGGACTGGGATGGCCGTGTATTGAGATGAGGATGATAGACAAAGCCAGCAGTCCCTTGCCAAAGTTTGGTTGGTGGTGTTTAACAACTTCTGTGCTAGATTTAAAGTCTTTAAAAGGTACCCTTAATTTATTAATTGTTGGAGGGGTACAGCAAAACCTGGTAGCATGATGAGGCTAATTCCTAATATATACAGGCTGTGGGTGGCCATCTTGAGAAAGATAAAGACCCTCTATAAAAAAGACAACTAAACAATATACTACAGCAATAGAGGCTCTCTGTCCAAAACTCCACTCAGAGGGTGCTACAGTGCATAGTCCTATTGCAAATAGCATTGTAAGTATAGCAATTCCCACAAATGTGGCATAGTAAATAATTTCCATCTAAAATTTTACTCACCAGGATATAGAATTTCCCTTTAGAGATCTACGAAGTAATTTTGAGAGGAAAGGCAGAAATGACAGAATGTATCTGGTATTTGCTTATCTTTGGTGATTTTCAATTTAAGATTTCCTATTTCTTCACAGTGATATTCAGAGCATTCTTCTGGATTGTCTGGGGCTTCTCCCACAGTCTTCCAGGCTCTGACTCAAGTGTGATGAATCCAAGAGTCACTTCCTGCAACTTTTACCACCAAGGGGGTGGAGAGAAAAGAGTATAAGGTCCTTCCCAAATAGGGTCTAGAGAAGGGAAAAGAGAAGGGAGAGCCTTCACCAGTACTAAGTCTCCTGGATTAAATAAAGGTGGTCCTATTTCCTGCAACTTGGCCTCTGTTAGCTGTGTCAACTCCTGTTGAAAGTGGGTCAGGGAAGCTATATGTTTGACCAATTCAGAGGTGTCCTGATCTAATAGGAATCACTGGTAAGAAAAGGTCACCCATACAACATTTCCAAAGGAGTTAAACCTAAATTTGAAGGGATATTTCTTATTTGTAATGGGCCATGGGAAAGAGAGTAGTCCAGGGTAGGTGAGTCTCTTGAGATAACTTTCTGAGGTGTCTTTTGATAATGTCATTAGTTTTTTCTACCTTTCCCGAGGACTGGGGTCTCCAGGCACAATGGAGATGATAGCATAAGCCCAGTGCCTTTGAGACACTCTGAGCAACAGCTGCTTTAAATGAGGAGCCGTTGTCACTTTGGAGGTATTTAGGGAGTCTAAAATGGGGAATTATTTCACTGATTAATACTCGTACTACCTTGGAGACCCTCTCTGTTCGACATGGAAATGCTTCCACCCAGTTAGTGAAGGTATCCATTCACATCAGGAGGTAGTGAGTGCCCCTTGATTTTGGCATATGGACGAAGTCTATTTGCTAGTCCTCCCCTGGATAACTTACCATTCTCTGAGCTGGAGGTGGGAGAAGCTGTCTGTTGAGGGTGTCGTTCTTAAGACTTGACTTCACAAGCATTAACAACCTGCTTAACCTGTTTTTAGTAGGTTCTCCCCTGAGAATAATCTTTGGACTCATTGACAAGTTTTATCCTTCCCTAGATGAAAAGTTTGGTGAAGGGTTTTTAGGATCTTCCACTGGTTGGGGGCTGGCAAGTGGAGTTTGCCATCCTCTGACTGCACCCATCCTAAGGACTGGAAATTGCATCCCTGAAAAGTGGCCCATTCTCTTTCTGCACGGGAATACTGAGGCTTCATTTCCCTCATGGAGCCTTCCCAGATTATAGGGGCTTCAAGGGTGTTGGCACCCTGAGGCTTTTGTGCTGTTGACTTGGCTGCCTGGTTGGCTAACTTGTTTCCCTCAGCTATTCCATCCGTTCCTTTTTGATATCCTTTACAATGCATTACTGCTACTTCTCATGGAGGGAAAACTGAGGATAACAGCCTGTTAATTTCCTGATCGTATTTTAACGGAGACCCATTAGCAGTGAGAAAGTGTCTCTCCTTCCAAATGTTGGCATGAGCACTGAGGATAAGAAAGGCATATTTGGAATCTGTATAAATGTTAGCTGCTTTTCCTTTGCTTAATTCAAGAGCCCTTGCAAGAGCTATCAGCTCAGCTAATGGGACACCTGTGTCTGGTGAGAGAGACGTGCTTTCAATGATACTATTCAGGGTGACTACTGTGTACCCTGTCTTATGGACTCCCTGTTCCACAAAGGAGCTCTATCTGTAAAGACGGTCCAGTCTGGATTTTCTAGGGGAGTTTCCCTGAGATCTTCCCTGGCTGCATAGGTTTGTATTATAACTTGCTCCCAGTCATGTTCAGGTCCCCCAGTTTCCTCTGGGAGGGAGGTGGTTGGATTCAAGTTTTTAGTTGGACTGCAGATCCCTCTAGTAGTAGAGCCTGGTATTTAAGGAGGTGGCTGTCTCTTAGCCAAAGGCCTCCTCTAGAGGACAGCAATCCTAACACAATATGTGGATATAAACAGGCTATTCCCCAGGGTTAATTTGGTGGCTTCTGGCACCAGTAGGGCCACTGTTGCAACTTCTTGGAGACAGACTAGATATGCTTTAGCCACCAGGTCCAGTTCCTTACTTAGGTAACCCACTGGCTGTTTACCTGGTCCACAGGTCTGAGTTAAAACCCCCAGGGCCATTCCCTTTCTTTCTGACACATAAAGACTGAATGTCTTCCCTATCGGAAGGCTAAGGGCTGGTGCCTCAAGCAGGGCTTGTTTTAACAGGTTAAAGTCTCTTTTTGCCTCCAGATCCCAAATCAAGGAATGAGTCTTGCTGCCTGAGTTTCCTTTATTAGTTGGTATGAGGGACGGCCATACCTGGGGAAAAATCCTGTAATGCCCCAAAATCCTCTTAGCTACTTGAGGGTTTTAGGGAGGGGGAAAGACGAAATGGGCTTAACTCTTTCTTCTCCCAATTCTCTGGTTCCCTCAGATAATACGGAACCCAGGTACTTCACTGAGGTTTGGCAAAGCTGCGCCTTGAATTTTGAAACTTTATATCCCCTATTAGCTAAGAAATGGAGAAGGGCCTCAGTGTCTTCCTGAGAAAAAGGCATCCTTTAGGTCTAGCACTGTGAACCATTTAGTTCCCTCAGGTATTTGGGTTAGCAAAGTACAGGGATTAGGGACTACTAAATGAATTGGGACTACGACCTCATTAATGAGGCAGAGGTCCTGAACTAGTCTCCATTCCCCATTGGGTTTCTGCATCCCTCATATTGGGGTGTTGCATGGGCTATTGCAGGATTTGAGGAGGCTTTGCTTCTTCAGATTATTAATAATGACCTCTAGCCCTTTTCTAGCCTCTGGCTTCAGGGGATATTGTCTTTGGTTAGGAAAAGAAGTGGGATCCTTAAGATGTATCTTGATCAGTATAGTGGTTATAGCCTGGTCAGTTTTCTCCTGGCTTGCCCATACCTCTGGGTTAATACTGGTTTCTACCAAGGGAAGACAAAGAGTTTGTCCTGGGGCCATATGGATGCTGGTTCCCTTGTGAGCTAAAAGATCTCTATCTAATAAGGGAGTGGGACTCTCAGGCATGACTAAAAAGACATGTGTAAATAGTAGGTCCCCCCAGCTACAACTAAAGGGTTGACAAAAACATTGGGTTAGAACCTTTCTGAGGTGTGCTTCACGGTCGTGATATGGGAAGAGGAGAGGCCTAGATTGGAGAAGAGAACAGAGACTGGCTCCAGTGTCCAGAAGGAGGCCCACCCACCTGATTCAATTTCCAGAATCTGATTCAATTTCCAGAATCTGATTCAATTTCCAGAATCATCCAGGGCTCCTGTGCAGTAATGGCAGTTTGGGCCACTGGAGCCAGGGAATTGAGCCCCGGGACCTGTGAGTTTTGCTGGACCATTTGTGAGACCAATTCTGGACTAAGTTACCTATGCCTCTGGGGGCAGTCCAACCTCCAGTGGCCACTGACACAGGCTGGACAGGGTCAAGGTGGCTTCTTCTTACTACCTGGACAGTCCTTAAAGTGCCATGGTTTCCCACACCGATAGCAATTAGTGGATTCACCTTGGGTATCCTGGACTTGACAGGCCTATAAAGCAGCCACCAGAGAATCCATTCTTCTCTTGTGCTTTCTCTCTTTTTCCTGGGCCTCCTTCTTATACTTACTGTAAAAGACTGAGGTGGCTACTCTAAGGAGGCTATCCAGAGTACTATCTGGTCCTATAGCCTGTTTCTGTAATTTTCTTCCAATATCAGGGACTGTCTGAGTAATAAACTTGTCCTTTAGGATTAGCTGTCCTTCATTTGAGTCAGGAGACAGGGAAGTGTGTTTTGTTAAAGCCTCCCTCAGCCTTTCCATGAAAGCTGAGGGATTCTCATCTGGTTTCTGATCTATCATGGACAGCTTAGAGTAATTAAGAGGTTTGACCCTAGTTTTTCATAGGGCCTCCAATATGCACATTAAAAAGTGTTTTCTTTTCCATTCACCTGTGAGGTCACTAGGGTCCCCGCCAGGGTTTTCAAGGGGTATTACCTCTCTCCCTATTGGGAATGGTTGTTCCATAATTCCCTCACCTTCCGTATCATCTCCTATTTTCCTTTTTGGCCTGCTGTAAGAAACATGTTGTTCATCCCCAAATTTTTCAGCTGCCTGCAGAGCTGTCTGCCTCTCAGCAGCTATTAGGGTTTGGTTTAAGAGTAACATAACACCTCTCCATGTGAGGTCATCTGCCAGGCCTAGATTTTGGAAAGCCTCTATTTACTTGTTGGGGTCATCAGAGAACCTACCCAGGTATTCTTTTATTCGTGTAAGGTCTTGCAATGAGCGAGGTGCCTGAACCCTAGTGGCACCATGTCCACTGGGCATTTCTTGCAGAGGTAAAAGCATAGCTGGGGAAGTGGAGAGTTTTGGAAGTGGTGGAACTGGAGGAGCTGAAGGTGCAGTTGGAGGAAGGGGCCCTGGATAAGGGGAACAAGAGTTGCTGAGATACTTAATTTTTGTCTCAGAAGATTCCCAGGGATTTGTTTTTTTAGCTTTGGGGAATCATTCCCCATGGGTCTGCCTGATATGACTGCTGAAAGAGCTGGGTCAATTATGCATCACTTGCAGAGGTCTGGGTTGTCCTGCAGGGCAAAGAAATTCTGTACATAGGGGACCATTTGCCTCCCGTCTACAGGAAAAATCTAATTGTTAGATAATATTAAAATCAAGATTTCCCTCAGAAGGCCAGGTTTGTCTGTCCCCAAGCTAGTAAAAAGGCCATGCCCTTGTGCAAAAGAATGTGAGCCGCTTTTTCTTCAGAGTCTTGGGATCAAAGGAGTTTCAGTGCTTCAGAATGCACTCAAGAGGGTGTAGGCTAAAGATGGTTTGCTACCCATTTAGAAAGAGGTAGAGGGAAGGAAAGGCATCCCTTAGTCTTCTCTTTCCTTTTGGAGTGACCCAAGTTGGGGGGAAAGTAGTGGGGGCATCCCCCCTACTATCCTCCTTCCTTTGTTCCCTGGGCCCTGGCAGCCATTAATGGTGCTGCCCAGGGATGCAAGTGTGACCTCCATCCATGGACCCGGGGGCGTGGGTCAGGCAGTAATAGTCACACTTACCTGCATGAGACCCTAGTCCTCCCCTGATAATTCCCCTTTGATTCCTCAGATTTGTGTGGCCAGCATGTCCCCCCTATAGATGAATCTCAGGAGAGACTACCTAACAGTTGCATCTGGGCAGGCCCCTCAGTGACAGGAGTATTCTGGGTTGGGTCTTATATTCTGCTATTATGGCCCATGCTAAAGTATCTATCCTTAGGCCATTGTTCTGATTGACTTCCAAACACAGAATCCCTTCTCTATTTAAATGCCATTCCAGTTGGAGGCAGAATAAGTGTCTCAAAAGAACGTAAGGATCAAATGACTGTCTTTCTGCTGATGAAGATGGTATTGAGACCAAAATCTGGATTAGAAGGACGTCTCGCTCCTCCATGTCACAGGCAGGGTTTTCCTGTTCACAGAGAAGGCATAAGGCCTGGTCTCTAGTGGAAGGGCTCAATAAGGAGAAGAGTTGGGAAATTAGAGGGTTTTGGCAAAGAGCCGACATGGTCCCTCATGAAGAAGATTCCCATTCCACTAGGTGGCTGTTGTAAACCTTGAAATATTAGGCTGTAGCTTTGTTTCCAAATGCTCTCCAGATTAAGGGTTGAGAGAGAGGTCTGAAGCATGACAGGCTGTCCCCACAACATGCCTCCCAATAGGAGAAAGTTAGTTTGCCTCATACAAAGTCTATCTAGTTGAACTGGGCAGGGCTGGCTCCTCACATGGAAAATAAACAGCCTAAATGAAGAGGGGGCCACTCACTGGGAGGGAAATAGCCCCCTGTCCAACCTCAGGAAGTGTCATCATTGGGAGTTAAATGATCCCTTAGACCTGGATTGTGAAAGCCTCCTGTCTCTAAAAAATTGTCAAAACAGGCCAGGCGCAGTGGCTCATGCCTGTAATCCCAGCACACTGGGAGGCCGAGGTGAGTGGGTAACAAGGTGAAGAGATTGAGACCACCCTGGCAACCCTGGTGAAACCCCGTCTGTACTAAAAATACAAAACTTAGCTGGATGTGGTGGCAGGTGCCTGTAGTCCCAGCTACTTGGGAGGCTGAGGCAAGAGAATCGCCTGAACCTGGGAGGCAGAGGTTGCAGTGAGCCGAGATCACGCCACTACATCCCAGCCTGCCGACAGTGAGACTCCCATCTCAAAAAAAAAAAATATATATATATATATATGTATACATATGTGTGTGTATATATATGTGTGTGTTCCATATATATATGTGTTCCATATATATATATGTGTGTTCCATATATATATGTGTGTGTTCCATATATATATATACATATATATATGTGTTCCATATATATATATACATATATATATGTGTTCCATATATATATATACATATATATATGTGTTCCATATATATATATATACATATATATATGTGTTCCATATATATATATACATATATATATGTGTTCCATATATATATATACATATATATATGTGTTCCATATATATATATATATATATAAAACCAAAACAGGAATCTCTTGAGCTATACTCCTGGTTGCTAAGGCACTTGTTAATCCTGCCCAACAAGACTATTTCCCCAGGCTGTAAAACTTCTCTCGCAATATTGCATACAGAGAGGGGATAGGAGACACAGTAGCCATGAAAAGGAAAGAAGGAAACTGTGATAGGAAAGCTTGGAGGTCCTGTTGCCAACACCCATCAGGCAATCAGGGGCTGGGGTTAGTCCAGAAGCCTCAGGTTACACCGGGGTGTGGCCCCGGCCAGAAACCTTCAGTTGCCTCCAGACCTCTTTCAGCCCCTCATGAGGGCTAGGCCCTCCACAATAGGAAACGTGTTTGTAGCAGAGCCAACATTCCCAGCACCCTGAAGGCACTGGGGGATTAGCTAAGTCCTCCCTAGCAAGACTATCATCTATGTCTTTAGGCCAGTAGCCATGCTTGTCATGTTTAAACGGCCAACAGATGCCTGGTGTTTTTCTAGATTTGATAAAAATGAGGACCAGAGGCCTCAGAAGTGAAAGTAAAGAGTTGGGGTCTGCTCCTACTCACCCTTTTAATGAAATCCCAGACAAGCCCCACAAAATGAAACCAGCCTCATTGTTTGAGATGTCACTCAAAGTTCTTGGTCTCACGGCCAAGGAAATCAAGGACATGGACCCTCCAAACATGAGGTTAGAGCAGAAGTTTAATAAGCAAAAGGAATAGAGCTCTCTGGAGCAGAAAGGGGTCCCAGAAAGATGGGCTGCCATTCTACAGTGAAGTGCAAGGGTTTTTGTAGACAAGCTGGAGGGTAGGCGTGCTTCATTTGCATAAGGCACAAATTTCTGACTTCCCACCCTACCCTTTCTAGTGCGCATGTGGGCTTCTTAGCCTGAGTTACTCCATGTTGTTTATCTCTTCCTGGTGCACATGTATAAAAAAGATGGAGGCGAAGAACACTCCAAGGTGGATGTGCCTGGTTCAGGGTAGCTCTTCTTATCGGTGCTGCTGCAGGCACTTCGCCTGCGCGCTTCGCCTGCAAGAGCCTCCCCGTCTTGAGTATTTCAAAGAAGGGAGGGGACTGTGCTTACTAGGGCCCACTGTATATCTGCACGTACTCCCTTGGGCTGCTTTTTGTCAGAAGAGAGGCTGCTTTTTGTTAGAAGGGAATTCTTCTGAGGACCCTTGCCCTATCTGCCTAGTTGATTTCTCTCTGTCTTCTCTCACATTAGCATATGCAAAAGTAACTACCTCTCTTTTGTTTACCACAGAATTATCAGAGCCTGAAACTGTCCCTGAAATTTAGTAGATCCTCAAAATATATTTATTTAATAAATGAATGAAAAATAGTAAATAAGTCCAAAGTCAAATGCTGATGATTATGTAGAGTGTGTAATCAAAATATTACAAAAACTTACTTTCCTTTTAGTGATGTTTAAACCAAAACAATTTTAGTCTAAAAATTTTAAGTCTATAAAACTGTTTTCTAAATCTTTCGTTACTTTATTGAAAATTTCATTTGGTGACATTTTACAGAAAAACTGTGGAATGTTTATGAATTTATTTTTCATGCTTATTGTCCTCTTACTATGAAAAAATGTTAGTTGAATTGTTTTTTCTTGACTTTTTTCAGCTTTATTGAGGTATAATTGATAAATAAAACATACATATCGAAAGTGCACAACTTGATGTTCTGATATACATATATATTGTGAAATA
Organism: Homo sapiens; assembly: GCF_000001405.40. NCBI lineage: Eukaryota > Metazoa > Chordata > Mammalia > Primates > Hominidae > Homo > Homo sapiens. The sequence goes on from NC_000011.10 coordinate 97,974,348, forward strand.
ATCATCACAGCAAACTAATCCACATACCCATCAACTCAGAGTTACAGTTGTGTGTTTGTGTGAGGTAAGAATATTTAAGATCTACCCTTTAATCAAATTTTGGGGAGGAGAATATGGGGAGATGTTGTCAACCTGTCTTTAAATGGTCTGGGAACAACCATCTTCAGAATTACTCAGGGGATCATTAAAAAGCTAATTGCTCAGATCTACCCTTGAGCTACTTAACTGGAGTCTCCTTTTGTAAGAATCATCAACTGATTATCCAAAACTAAATATCCATACATTTATTTTACCCAGAATGCAAGCAAAAAAAGTATATTTCTTTAGTTCACAAACCTAAGATATTCTGTTGAATTTTATTAAATGGACATTAACAAATTATAATAGTTATGTATTTAAATGTTTGCTTTAATTTACCTATCTCAGGAAATTGTGCATTACTTTCACATTCCCTTAGGACTTCTTGGCAAAATGAGGTATTCTTCTAGTCATCCAGTTTCAAGTATTTTATTTAAAAGTTGGAGACCTGGCTTTTCAAATAATCTTTAAATTGGCTTAATCTTGGGAACTGAAATACTTTTGTTTAATACAATAGCTTAAATCAGACTCCCCTGGGCTATTCTGCTCTTCCATTTGAATTGCAAGAAAAGCACATTTCAGCTAATCTTTCTGCCTCCATTTTTGGATGATAGGTTTAGATGCCCCACTAGAACTCAACAATAAAACTACACCCTGTGACTTCTTTCCTTGAAACTTCTTTTGTTTAGAAGCAAATAAAAAGAAACCTGACATTTTATTTTATAACATTGCTCAGCTTTCCTACTGATGTTTTGGTTTATTTTTCCCATTTTAATAGTGAATTCCTGAGCAAAATACATTTTAACTGTAACATTTGGATTACTTAGACAGCTGTCTGCAACTGTGACATTCCACTGATGTGGCTACCCTCGGGAGATTGTGTTTATTTATATCAATGGAATGATTTGAGTGATTGGCTCTGTGCAAACCTCAGTCTTTTATTCCTCTTGTTTGTATCTGTATAGGTAGGGTGAACAAGGGGAGGCCAACAGTCTTTCTCACTTGCTTAAAAAAAAAAAAAGATCTACTTGCTCTTGACCATTTATAATTAAAGCTCATTTTGGCTTATTTCTCAGAGTTTAGATTGGGCATAAAAGTAATATATGCCCCAATTCTCTGATGCATTCTACAGTTCCATAAGTAGTCTAGTTCCAATTTAGACTAATTTAGAACAAGAAATATTTATTGATTTATTTACAGTCTATTTTTCAAGTCCCCTACTACCAATACCATACAGAAAGAAATCAACAGCATTTTCAAGAGAGAGCCAGCCTGCTGGATCCCAAAATTCTGAGCTAGGCAACTACAATAATCATTGAAAGTTCTAGCACATAGTAGGTGCTTAATAAAAACATAAGATATTAATAATCATTATTACTAGGAACGAGGAAGATAGCACAGTTCCCCGCTGAATGTGTTTGAGATCCTACAACCTTCAAGACATATACTCAGGAAACAATGGCTTCCATGAGAAAGCAATGGCTGTTGTACCCATTCCATATGGAATATGTTGTTTTTTTAAGTTGTCATGTTTGAAATGCTTGTTCCCCAGTGCCATAAAGAAATAGCACTTCAACATAAATTTAATTTCCTCAGCAAGGCCATTTTTACTTTCTGCAGAAAGGGTACACTCACCAGCAGTTTTGCCACGAGAGTATACCAAACAAAGGAGACAGGGTCATTTATAACCTGACACATCCCCCCTACTGCTGTGTCTGGTTTCCATTGGCTGGAACAGGACCTCACATTCTATATTTGTCCCGATTGGCTAGCAACTTAGAACTTTTTTTTTTTTTTTTGAGATGAAGTTTCGCTCTGTTGCCCAGGCTGGAGTGCAGTGGCGCAGTCTCAGCTCACTGCAACCTCCGCCTCCCGGGTTCAAGCAATTCTTCTGTCTCAGCTTCCCGAGTAGCTGGGATTACAGGTGCCTGCTTCCACACCTGGCTAATTTTTCTATTTTTAGTAGAGATGGGGTTTCACCATGTTGGCCAGGCTGGTCTAGAACTGCTGACCTCGTGATCCGCCCGCCTCGGCCTCCCAAAGTGCTGGGACTACAGGCATGAGCCACTGTGCCCGGCCACCACTTAGAACTTTTTTAAAGAGGCAAAGGCAGAGGAGATCAAAGGAAGGAGGAAGTAACTTGTGGAATGCTGAGAAAGGTAAAAACACTTTCAGATAAGGAAGAGGAACAGGCTATGACCTAATGCTTGCTTGGACCAGTATAAGCATGCCAGGGAAAATATTTAGGCTAAATTGTGGGAGCTAAGAATATAAAGTACATTGATTTCTTTATTACAGCTAGCAGGTATTTAGAATGTTAGCATAGGTCTTTGAATAAATTTTGTTTTTAAGAGAAGTTAGTATTTATTCCTAATTAGACAGGGAGGAAAGTCTTTGAAGAGGAACCTCTACTTTACTTTTTACAGTCAGAAAAGTTGAAATCTGCCAGGAAGAAAATAATCCCCAAACTACAATAAAAATTACTAAGTTTTGTTTTATTTCTTAGCTAGTTCAGGGTTATTCAAGGTAACTGTATATATAACATTTTATTGCATTGTTCTCATTTCCAAATTGTCTCATATTATTCACACAAAATCATCAATGTTCATCTCTGTATCTGTTAACTCTCTCTCTCTCTCTCTCTGTCTCTTCCCTTTCCTCTTATTCCAAAGGGACAAACTGAACATATCCATATTATACAGTCATATAATTTTATAATTTATGAGTTGCAGGGACAAGAAAATCATCTTCTCTAAACATGAAGTTAATTTCTGAATATCCTTTAAAACATAATTCATAACAAATTTCCTGGAATTCATTGCTCTCACTATAAACATGCCTATATATTTAAATCTGTTGCATTTCATTCTGAATGTACACCTATTATTCTCAGGAACCATGTGAACGTAATAAAAGTGATTAAAAACTAACTTTGGCATGTGGTTATATTGATTAAACTTCTTTTAAGATTTTTCACCACAAAATTAATTTTAAAATCTTATATCACAGAGAAAAACTTAATGATCTCTGGAGAATAAATTGCATCTTTAAATTTCAAAGACTACCTAGCAATAATCACATTTCCTCTATCACTGATTTCCCAGGTATGTAAAACCACAATTACTACATTTAATTAGTTGCCTTTTTTTAGTTTCCTGATATTGTTTTATTTAAAAACAGTCTAAAATGGACAGAAACATGGCCTGAAACTGACCTGATACAAGGCAAAACAAAGCATGCATGATATTTAATTATTAGATAGCTATAAAGTCACAAGCTTCGTAAATAAACTTCTTAATATATATTTTTAGAAATGCTCATCTAAGACCATTTTGATTTCTGCTTCAACCTGAAAACTCTAGAATATAATGTCACTGCCATTATTTCTAAGTACTAACCAAAGAGGTTTTTTTGTTTTATTTCAGGAATAATATAAGAACCATTTCAAATATAACCACCTACAGGATCCCATTACCAACAATCATAAATTAGCCCACTCATCATTTTCTTTTAATATAATCCTTTATCCAGGTGTCAATTCAGATAACAACTTTACAATTAAAGTCAATTTGAAAATTTTTCCCTTATGAGAAATACGAATTTGAGGAGTATTGTGTAAATTAAGATAAACTAAACTTTATACACTTTCAAACCCCTGCAGCTGCACTATAGATGCTTAAATCCCACTGATTTCAAAAAGAGGTCCATTTATGGAAATGCTCTGCAGGCATGCAGAGGCTGAATAAGTTCAAAATTCCTGTGAAATGCTATTTAGGAAAGCAAATGTTAGAAGAAAATATCATAAATGGAGTATTTTTGAACCCTTCCTAAAAGCCAAAAAAAAAAAAAAAGACCAAAGTAAATTAGCAATCATCCAGCCAAGCACACTAACTAAAAATCCAAAACAACAAAAATAGGTACATGTAGAGTTTTAGCATGTAAAAGTTTTCTACAAATGATTATTCCTGGCACAGTAGACTAAATCCTACCCCAGTCAATTCTATTAAAAACACAAAAAACAAAACATTTGTTTTCCACATTTTGCATAGATTTTTAGGTAGAAATGGTGTACTAGATGTCACATGGTCAGAAATTATTTTATAATCACTTTTTTTTTTTTTTCGAGACAGAGTCTCACTCTGTCACCCAGGCTGGAGTGCAGTGGCACGATCTCAGCTCACTGCAACCTCTGCTGCCAGAGTTCATGCAGTTCTCCTGCCTCAGCCTCCCAAATAGCTGGGACTACAGGCGCCTGACACCGCACCTGACTAATTTTTTGTAGTTTTTAGTAGAGACAGGGTTTCATCATCTTGGCCAGGCTGGTCTTGAACTCCTGACCTTGTGATCCACCTGCCTCGGCCTCCCAAAGTGCTGGGATTACAGGCATGAGCCACCGCACCCAGCCTATAATCACTTTTTCAAATGAAGGTTTTTCTTTATAATTTCTTTTGTTTTAAAACATGTTCCTGTATTATGGTTACTCTTTCAACAAATGCTGCACTATTTCCCCTATTCATCACCTCAAAATGCATTCTCAGAATTCCCTTTACTCTCCTTACCTCTTGACAACCTACTTTATCTTTAACCCCTAATAATATGGCTTACATATCCTACAGAAGTCCTTTTGAGCAAAGTGAAGGCATGGTAACTGTACAGCGTAATAAAGAAAATGTGTCTCTCCAGAGTAAAGGGGAGGCATGTTTACTGTTTATTATAAAGGTTTCAGATTCCCTAAGCTCAGGATCCCTCTCTGTTTCTAATTCACTGCATGGGCAGGTATCATCTCACCCTCTTTACATTGCTCTGTGGAAACTAAGATTTGATGAACTCTTGGAAAAAGTTCATATCTAACTACTGACTAAGCATCTCTGTGTGTGTGTGTGTGTGTGTGTGTGTGTGTGTGTGTGTGTGTGTGTGTCCACAGTGGATATTATCTCTCTTTACTCAAAATCCAAGAGAAAGAGAATGAGTTAGATCATTTGCAAAATTTATTTTAGCTTTAATAGTTTATGTGTATATGTGCATATTTATACCTATGTCTGTACTTATGTCTATGCCTACATCTCATAGAGAAATATATCTATATCTGCATCTATTGATGTCTATGCATCTATAGAGAGATATATCTGTATCTATATCTATTGGTTGAATCTATAATTAAAAATTAATGCTGTCAGGAACAAAAGCAGGGTGCCCATATAAGTGAATGACCAGATGGTGAGGTGGTATATTACATTGGATGGTTGAGTATCAAAAAATACGTAAAAATATCAAAAGTAATATGAATAAACATCAAAAATAATACTTTTGCTGATTAATAAAAACAAGTCATGTCTATAACTGCAGGATGTGTTTTCAGGCAATTCTGGGAAAGCCAAGGCAAAAATGTTTGAAGACGTTCAAGTAAGTGAAGAAGTACAGAGTAGGTGGAAAACAGTGATTAAGAGGTGAAACAATGTAGGTGGTTAAGACACATGGTGGGATATGGGTTCTTAGTTGCCCTCAAATATGCTCTCATTCTCCTGTGTTGACAGCATCTCTAGATTTTTTTCTGGCAAATCATTCCACTTCACTTTCTTAAAAAAGCTCTTAAAGTCAACTTGAGCCATCGAGATGAGGTTCACCTACAAGAGATGGCAGATGGGGGAGCTAGAAGGAGCATGAGTTGCCACTAAATTAATGTTTGTCATGTTGTCAACTGTGGACTACCTCTGGATTTTTAAGCAAGAGATAATACTGTCTTTTTTGTTAAGTTAATTTCGATGGTTTTAATGATCTACTCTGAAAATGAATGAATCAGAAATTATACTAAATAGCATAAATATGAGTAAAGAAATAAAATGAATTAAATTGTCTAACAGTTTGACAAATTTTCAAGAGAATTTTGATAACTATTATATAATTTAATAATTATACTGTGATATCTTTAATTTTGATATATTAACAGCACACTGTTAAGATGTATTTTCCTCTATGAAAATGATAATATAATGGCCTGAATTGACAACTGTTTTTAGTTCCATGTTTCCTTCCTGCATGCATTTAAAATATGAATACATTTAAACTCATTTCACTTTTCATACTTCTCATATGTTCTTTAAGATGCAAAAATTTACAGCTACATTGTAAATAATTTATGGAAAATACAAATTACAGGTAGTTGGAGGAAAATGCAATAGAAAACAGGGAAGGGTCATGAAGGCCATCTTGGAAGGAGGGAGGTTGTTGGAGTGGAAGGCAACTTATAAAATATCATTTGAAGGGTTCCAAATATTGTCTCTGATCTCCACTATTTCTCTCATTGGTTAGCAACCAGAACCTAAAATAACTATGAGATACAAGATTTAAGTATTATTTCTTAAGAAACCTGTAGCTAAAGTTGGAATATTATTAAGAAATCAAATTTATTAATCCATAAATAATTGTTAATTTATTCAATATTCTTTGTTCTTGGTAACTTTTCTCCTTATCCTTTCTCTATCTTGTGCTATCAACTTTGTCCTCTATTTCGTAGTCTTTTCTTTACTATCCTTAACTATGGACATTTGCCTCTCTTTGTGTCCTTGCCTTCTTTTTGTGTATAATTTTCAACTAACAATTTAGGGGGTTAAGGGGACGGCCTTGATTCCTCTTTTCCCTTTAGTGGTCACTCTAAATCTTTGCTTTCCTTAAAAGCCAAACTAAAGAAAAAAGTACAAAAATCATCAATCTTCATTACTAAACTCCCCCTAACTCATTAATCCAATCTATGTTTGCTATCACTACTCTGTTTCTTTGTTTTTGTTTTTGTTTGTTTGCTTTTTTGAGACGGAGTCTCGCTCTGTCACCAGGCTAGAGTGCAGTGGTGCAATCTCGGCCCCCTGGTAACTCTGCCTCGCTGGTTCAAGCGATTCTCCTGCCTCAGCCTCCCAACTAGCTGGGACTACAGGAGCATGCCACCACGCCCAGCTAATTTTTGTATTTTTAGTAGAGATGGGGTTACACCATATTGGCCAGGATGGTCTTGATCTCTTGACCTCCTGATCTACCCGACTCCACCTCCCAAAGTGCTGGGATTACAGGCGGGAGCCACCGCACCCAGCTGCTATCACTACTTTCAAATGACTGTTGCTAAGGTGAACAATGACTTCCATATCTCTACATCAAAAAACATTGTCCCTATTATATTTGATCTCTTAGAGTATTTAACTTCCTAATTCACTCTATCTTTTTAAATGACTCTCTTCCATTGATTTTCCCTTTTTTATTCTTGTATCCCTTAAAGCCTGGCTAACTCTTATGAGTTTTAAGTATTTATCTTTCTTGCTTCTAAATCTCTTTTACTTGTTACTTTTACACTTTTGCCGGATGGTCATGCCTGCTTATGTATCCCAAATTTTTACTTTAATATGTCCATCCCACGTTTCATCTCTGAGCTCCCAAGATCACATTTGACATGCTTTTTAATACTTAAACTTTGAGATCTCAGTTAAACTTCACATTACCAAGACATTTGTCCTAAATCATGTTTTCTTCTAGGCACCACATGGATGGGCAACCACGTCCATCTCATAGTGATGGGACACAGACAAATTCCTAGGCAGACAGGGAAGAGCCTCTGGTGAAACCCCATCTGTCAAGCCAAAGACAGTTTGTAGCCTAAAAACTGAACTGCCAGTTCCATATTGAGTCCATAACCAGAGTAAGAACTTCTATCCCTGTCTTACCCTTTCTCTCGATTGGTTTCTTCTGGATGATGTCTTTTAGCCATTGAAATGGTGCTGTTTCCAAAGACCACCCATGGACCAATCAACAAGCATTCCCCATTCTAAGCCCACAGAAACCTTAGACTCAGCCACACAGACAGCTACCCACTCTCAAGTCCCCTCTCAGAGTTGAGAGGTTTCATTCCGTCACTCAATAAAGTTCTTCTCTGCCTTACTCACTCTCCAGCATCCACACACCTTATTCCTCTTGGTAGCAGGATGAGAACCCAGAACCAGCTGTGACACACTCCCACTCACTGGATGAAATAGGAGAAAAAGCTGTAACTCGCTCCCACTCGCTGAGCTACAGGAGTGAAGAGCTGTGACATCTGTTGGGGGTTTGAACCTCAGGAATAGCCGAGTAAAAGCTGTAATGCCTTGGGGCTCTGTGATTGCTGACATCTCTGAGTTTTGGGGTGCCACTGCATTCCTCTTGTCCAGAGGCCAGTGCCCAACATGGAAGCCACTTGTGGCATGCCTCGTCTAGCTGCAAGCTGACAGTGGAGCCTCAGTGGGGACAGGATCCAAGCAGGTGTGAGCCAAGCACAGCCTACTGGGCCAAGCAAGCGGAGCGAGGCCAGTGGGCCTCCAGTGCGGCCTGGACAGAGGTAGTGGCAGCTGCAGAGATTTCTGGCTGGCAAAGCAACACTGGAGGAGTCCTGTAAGTCATCCACTTTTGCAAATCAGAATGCCACGAGGCATGCTTGATACCTCTTCTTTCTCATGGCACACATTAAATCCAACTCCATGTCCTGTCGATTTTATTTCCCAAATATCTGTCCCATATGCTCTTGTTTTTCCATTAATACTGACTCTGAACTTTGAGTTGGATCAGAATATTAAACATTAGCTAACTCAATATTAATTAAGTCAACTTCATGGCCACTCTGTATCACAGTCTGAAAATCTACTCCTTATTCTCCATTCCATTCCATTCCACATTATAGCGTGCTACATTATACAAAATGACTTTGTAGAGGTTTTATAATGAGATTAAATAGCAACATAAAAATCCAATATCATTATTATAGAGATGTCCTCAAATTTAGGTAAAGGAAAAGTAGATGGTTTTAGTATAGAATTAATTTATCAGCACATAAAACCAATTAATTTAAGAAGTATTGTAATTTAAGATGTAAGAGAGCAGATGATGGTACTTTCTACCCTATCATCAAAAGTTAGTATATTTTTATTTTTATTTTCAGTATAAAACATGTTTTGTTGCAAAAAAAAAGAGAGACTAGTAAGTATTGAGGGAAGTATACATTTCCCTCATTGAGGGAAGAAATACATTTCTATGTTTCAGAGAGAGAAATTTTTTAGAGAGAAAAAATTAGGACATCTCAACCCCAAGCCTAGGATAACATTTGAGACCATAACTGTAGAGATAAAAAAAATTGTCACAATAATATTTTAATATAACATTATAGAAAGTAACCTTCTGCATGGACACAATCTTTAATTCAGCAAACAAACAAATATTTAAATTTTTTAAGTTGGGATGTTTTGTATAAGCATCTGATGTGCATGGAAATTTATTTCCCGGTCCTGACTTCAGAGGGCTCTGATAGGTAGTTCTTGGTAGTTTTAATCAAAAAATCTGCACCTACAATAGAAATGTCATAAGTATCCCCCAATGGTATTTTGAAATGACCCTAGGAATTAGGACTAAACCAAATGAAGGCTTTGTGCGGGCTTTTGTGATGGATAGCAAACCAATTTCAAATATAAAAATATGTAGTGATAAGGACATTAACCTAGCCAAGAATGATATCAGAGGAATCATACACATTAGTTTAGGCTTGTCAAAAGGGGTCTGTATTATGAAGCAATGCTTGAATAAGAGAAGTGATTTATCCATAGTCTGAGGTAAAATACTAATTGATTATGATTTTGGAAAGAAGCTAAAAATATGGGAACTACATCTTGCTCTGAGTGAAAAATCACCAATACTGGCTAGGGATAAAGGCAGGACTCCAGCCAAGTATTCTGAATTTTTAAAATAAGGCATCATTATAGTGAAGTATTTAATTATTAATCAAAATCTGGGAAAACAAACCTGCATTCACATTGAATGAATGCATAGGAAGATGAAGTCTGTAATTGGATGGGCATGTTAGCCTTCTGGGCTTGTTACATGGTTATGCAACATACTAAGTTCACTGCTATCTAATAAGTATATGTTAAATAAGGGGTTAAAATCAGCAGATGGGAACAGTGGCAGGTTATCTTACAGTGGTAAAGTAAAATAAATGATTAGAAAAAATTTCATTTTTTCTGGAAATACATAAAAGAAATCAAGCTTGTAAAAATTTTTGAGCTGAACAAAGAAACAAAACTTGTGAACATTCTAGGATCCTATGTATTAATTAAGAATAAGTTGAAAGCATGCAATCTAAAACCATGTTAATAATGACTTACACTTCCCACTGAACCTTAGGATGCAGAAAGGTGCAAAGTCCATCATTCCCAACCTAATGATAATATAAAGCGAGGTGCTCTATAAAATTAACATTTTCCTTGAACCCATAAAAAAGATGACATTATAGGACGAGCCTATAGCTAGAATTTCAGAGAAGCCAAAGAAGAATCCAGGCATGTGTACTGGCTTACATGTGACAAACATGGGAGGAAAATAGGGCCTCTGAGGAAACGGATAGGAACAGAGCTATAATTTTTTTTTTTTTTTGAGACAGAGTCTCACTCTATTGCTCAGGCTGGAGTGCAGTGGCCTGATCTCAGCTCACTGCAAGCTCCACCTCCCAGGTTCATGCCTTTCTCTGCCTCAGCCTCCCAAGTAGCTGGGACTACAGGTGCCCACCACCATGCCCGGCTAATTTTTTCTTTTTTTTTGGTAGAGACAGGATTTTACCATGTTAGCCAGGATGGTCTCGATCTACTGACCTCGTGATCCGCCCACCTTGGCCTCCCAATATATTTTTTAATGAATTTCTAAGGCTAAATATGGACTGATCAGACAGTATATAACTTAAGGGAGTCACCAAAGAAAAGAGATTTCTAACCTATTTGCAGACTGTTTTTCCACTCTCCTGGGATGATCACGAGAAAGACTGAGGGCAGGGAGGGAGACAGGAGACAGTCTACCTGAGTGATTTAGGCCTGGGGAAGGGGGAGCCATCACTTTTCCAGGCAAAGCATGAAATTCTGCCTACATTCTTCTGACTTAAGCAACAAAAGTTTAAAGTAAATATAGGGGAAGAAAGGAAAATATTAGAATATTTCAGTGTACTAATTTTTATGGTTTCTACTTAAAAATACGTATTATTTTTAATTGACAAATCATCATTGTATTACATTATGGAGTACCCTGTGATGTTTTAATATAGGTATACAATGTGGAATGATTAAATTAGGTCAGTTAACATATTCATTACCTCATCTACTTAATATTTGTTTAAAGTTTTATCTGATTTTTAATCAGCACATAATAATTGTACACATTTATGGAGCAGAGTGTGATTTTTTTGATACATGTATAAATTGTGCAATGATCAAATCAGAGTAATTAGTGTATCACTTTAAACACTTGATCTCATTCATATGGTTCTGTAATTTTCCTCAGTTCTTAAAAGCTGAAATGCATTCAAGTCATTTGTTTTCAAATTATTCTCTGAATGTGGCAAAGTACAATGCATATATTCAGCATTGTTTCAACTACAAATAATGTGTGCAAAATTTTCAAATGCAATTGTTTAAATGTTTTCTTAGAAAAATTTAATAATAATAATAATAATAATAATAATAATAAAGAGGAACACTGAAAAAAAAAAAAGGTTTCACAGACCTTCCTTCTCAGATTTGCTTCAAAGAAAGTTGACATTTTCTATCTACCCTTATACGACAATCTCTGCTAAGGCTACTACCATCTCCCTTCCTAAATGCCATCTTCACCACCATTTACTGTGGATCATATCACCTTGTTAATTCCTCACAGCACTTGTCATATATAATCTGTAAATTATTCCAATTATACCATACTCATGAGATTATCACAGAACCAAGTAAATAAAAACTACTTAAAAGACAATTGACATTAAAACAGCAAGTTTTATTCTCTCTCATGTATTAAGCCCCAAAATGATGGAGAAATTCTGTAAAATCATTATAGACACAGTCTTTGTCTTTTTGTTCAGCTATCCTAGAGTGTCACTCTCATCTGTGTGATGTGAGGTAGCTCCAATGAATGTATTTCAGCCAGCAGACATAGAGGAGAGGAAAAGAACATGCTTCTCTAATGATCAAAGTCACAACTTAGAAGCTGCCTGGTCAATTTGGCCATATCTAGCTATTAGAAAGGCTGAGGAATATCACTCGACAAACTAAAATTGGTGAGTTTAATATCTTGAGAAAAAAATGAAGTTAAAAGTTTCAGATTAATACCTTCTATGTAACTTTTATCACTGTTGAATTTTCTTAAGATGTTTGAAAGTTGGCAGACTGGCCTACAGTGATTTTACTGAAAACAAATTTTAAAATAATAATAATGAAAATCATTGCAAATCATGTGAAATGGCAAGAGAGCAGACTTGAAGATTACGTAACTAGAGAAAAATGAAATATAAATTTATTTGACTTTAGCAAAAATTCATTTAGCAGTCTTATTCTTTATTATAAATGAAGAAACTAAAGTGCATAGATGTTAACTGTCTTTCTAAAATTCATGAGGCTAACTAGTAAGAGATGGGAGTGGATACCAGTCTCCTTTTACCCATGCTCTTTATTTTATACCACAGCGTCAGGTTAGGTTTTTAATAAGGGTATCGTTTATATGAGGACCAAGTATGCCATCTAATTTTTATTCTCACAGTAGTATGAATGCGAACAAAAATATATTTTTGATTGACTGCTATTCCCTGAACGGACTCAAGTGGTGGCTGATATTTATATGTTCTCTGAGGAGAGAAGTGATATATAGAAGATGGTGAGGGATGGGGAAGTAAATGCACCTTGGGGATATGAAAGGTAGATGAGTATCTATATCCTCGCTGTATTTTCAGCTGATTCATCTAAGATTGTGCTGAATAAACAGATAGCCAATAATAGGAATAGTGGCCACTTTCCTGGAAGTCCTAGGTAGATACTGAGTACAGAATTGTCCCCATCAGTCTATAATCCAAAGCTATCAACAGCTATAAGATGGTACCAAACTGCAATTGAGATTCCAGATTTGGCAGAGTGCACATGGATTCCAGAACACCTAGCTGACTGTAGAGGTTCGTCCAAAAAAATGTCATCAACCTTGCAACAGTGTGATAGTGAAATATATATAATTTATTTTTTATACTTCGTTTACTTCATCATGTCCCCTTTTTACCGTTATTAATCATAATCAGTTTTGCTATTCAGCCCATATACATTGGTACAGCTATACAAATTACTCAAATAAAAAACGTGTTTATAGCAGTTGGTAAATAGCTACTGGTGCGATTGCTACCCCCTTTCTTGGCTTACATTTTGGTCAAATCTGGACTTTCTCAGATGTAGAAATTAAAATAGTTATGCCGGGCACACATACACACTCAAAGCCTCCAGGATCATGATTCAGTGCTATGGACTGCTTCTATTCTGATTGGTTTATGCCTGTGTCTTTCCAAGTGTTAAATATTTTGAAAGTTACTTTTAATTATAACCAATGCAAATTAAACTTTCTAAATGCTTTTTTTCCCTGATTGTTCTTGTGTGCTTTTCCTATTTTGAAGCAATCCTGTTTCTCTTACTATCTTCATTTATCTTAGCATCTTACTGCTATTATGCTTCTATGAATAAATGTATTTATTCTTTCCAAAATTAAAACAATCCCAAAACTCTAGTACAAAGGAATGTATTTTTAAGAAATATTATAAATAAGTTTTATGCATAAAGTTACTTAGATCAACATTTAGTTGAAAACAAGCAAATTTATTTCAAAATATGTATAGTTTAAGATGGTATTTTCAGTATAACATACTTATTAGCCAAAAATCCCCACAAATAAATTATCTATAGACAATTAAAATATCAAATCAATATATGTAGATGCCACATATAGGTATTAGTGAATTCTTTCATTAATCTACTTAATAAACAGTTATTTATTGTCTATAATGTTTGAGGTATTGTAGAAGCCGCATATTTGAGGCACCGTTCCTTCTTTCAATAAGCGTCCTATTCAGAAAGTGAAAAAACATACAGCCAAATTATTGTAACTCATTTAAAATGTTAAATGTGTCATAAGATAACTTTCTAACACCACAGTTAGTATTGAAAGGTGGGAAACACCACTTTCAAATTGAGGGAATTTAAGGTTTCCTGGAGAAGGCAGTCTTTGAGTTATACTTTAAAGAATAGGTAAAACTTCAGGTGAAGAGACATACAGGAAGGTGAGTAGTGTTGAAAGCACATTAAGCTATAGCATGAAAATCTTGAATAATTTGAAGAAAGCAGTTTCCTAATTGAACAATCACTTTATCCATAATTATCCATTTTAGAATTCATAAAAATATTGAATCTGTTTTATAAAAATACATATTCCTAGGTTCCAGTCTCAATGTACTAAATATGAGTCTGTGGTGTGAGACCCAGGGATCTATGTTGTAAACTAACACTTTCTAATCTCCCATCTTATATGTACCTACTTTTCATATGTAACTATTTTAAAGTGTCTAAATATACCCCTAAGTTGTACATAATGTAATTTTACATATGTAGTTTTAATATAAATAAACAGAAGTAAAAATGTAACATTTCTTACTATTCTCATTTTAACATTATGTTTTTGATATCTTTCCATGTTGCTGTATAAACATCTAATTCATTGCTTCTGGCTTCTAAAGAGCACTGCACCAGTAAATGTGAGCACACTTCACTTGAAATCGATACCTAGATAACCCCTAGCAACTTACTAATGCAAACAGTGCTGTGGTAAATATCTTCCTGCATGTCCACTTTTGGACAAATGAAAGTTTCTCTAGATTATCCCCATAATTTGAATTCCTAGGTAATAAAATATAAGTGTATTAAAGTGCTTTCAGGTTGCTTTCTAGAATGGCTATTTCTAACAAAACAAAAAACATTATTTATGTAATAAATTTAATTAATTTACTTTTATTTACTTAATACAACATATATTTATATTTATTTATATATATATATTAGTTATATATTATATATTTGTTGTATACTTATATTTATTTAATAAATAAAATAAATAAAATTTATTATTTTAGTCAGTCTCAGTAAGTAACCACTCTTGTGTCCCACGTAGAGTAAGAGATAATTTTATCTCAATATTTTCCGTAACATATACCTCAGCAGTTTTCCTTTTAATATACTGGATTTAACCACATGGCTCATTGTTAGTCTAGGTGTAGATGGTCCTTTGAGAAAATATGAACAGTTTATTGGGGCAAATGTAGTCCAATTTTCATGAGCCTTTCCTCAACTATAATCAATGTTCCCTTGAGTATTCTCTGGGGACTACCAATAGGTATAATGAATTTTAGACACAAAAAAGCTTTGAAATGGGTCAAATTAATGTATTAATTGAATAAATTCCAATAACAATTTGTATCCAGGTCTGAAAATTAATTTTTTATTCTATTTCTCATCTTACATTTTGTTTAGCCATGTTGGAAAGCATAGCCCATCAGTATTTCACCAAATGACTCTAATGATAAATACGTAAGCACTCTAAAAAATTAATGGCAATAATTCATTAAAAGGCCAAAATTTGAATATAAACTTCTTTATATTTTCAAATTCTCAGGAAAAAAAGGCTTAACTATAACCTCCCTTGCGAGTTAAAAATCCAACAAGATTCAAGCACATTTAAAGGCCAATGAAATATTTTCCCCTGATGAGTTAGAAGTCTTGACTTAAATTTTTTAAAATCACCCCCAAATTTATTATTTTAGTCAGTCTCAGTAAGTAACCACTCTCGTGTCCCATGTAGAGTAAGAGATATTTCATCAGCTGCTTCCTGAAAACAATGTACATTCTTCAAGATATCAAAGGTTCCATTAGCTCAACAAAAAGTGCTTCATGAAGCTCACTACTAAGTTATCCAGAAAAGGTTCTAAAGAGTTTTTTAAAGTTTAAAGGCAGACACCTTTTGATCTATGAATTTTATACGAGGCCATAGGGCTGCGTGCCAGGCAGTGTTTGTGTTTTCTAAGCTCATTACATTTATGTGTCCAAATACTCCAGTAGATATTTATCTGAGGTCAGGAGAATGGGTGGGGAAAAACTTCTTGCCAACTGTCTAAAAATGTCAGTTATGTGAAACTTGTTGGCCAGAATTCACAATCTGTAGACTTAAACTCAATTAGAAGACACCTCCAAGAAAGCAATTAATTTGGCACTGGGCACTTTTCCTAATTCTAGGGGTGGGTTTATTCATATCCCCTTGTTGCTATAACAAATTACCACAAATCTGGCTTGAAACACAGTTTTATCACCTTGCACTTCTGGTGTTCTTCAGTCTAAATGCATTCCCAGGGCTGTGTTACTTCTGGTGGTGCTGAGATTATCTGTTTCTATGGCTTTTCAAGCTTCTAGAGGCTGCCTGCAGTCCTTGAATTATGGTTACTAAGACCTCTGTTTCTGTTGTACCATCTCCTTCTCTCCACTCTGACCCTCCTGACGACTCATTCCTATAAAGATCCTGGTTATTATATTGAACCCATCTAGATAACCCAGGACAATCTGCCTATCTTAAGATCCTTAAATCAGTCGCATCTTTAATATGTGGAAATATTTTGTGGGTCATTACTAGGCTTACTATGCGGTGTTTGGAAATAACCAGGCAAGTTTTCTTCTCACTGATATTGGTATATCTTTCTTATCCAAATTATTTCTCAAAAAATTAACTCCATTTTACTGTTAAACATTCATTTCTGGACACTTCAGTGCTTTTGGTAGTTGAGCTTTCTCAGATAATACAAAATATAGGTATGTATATGTATAATACTTATATTGAAAATGTTTAATTACAAAAAGTGTACAAATAATGCATAGCTTGATAACCTATATTTCTCTCTATCACTGTAACATGTTTCCACAGTCTTAGTGATTTAAAGCAAAACAAATTTATTATCTTACAATTATGAAGGTGAGAAGACAGAAGTGGATCTCGCTGGGCTAAAATCAAAGGGTCAGTAAGTTGTATTCCTTCTGCAATGGTTTCCTTGCCTTTCCCAGCTTCTAAAAACCACACACATTCCACAGCTCAGGGCACCATTCCTCCATCTTCAAAGCCAGCAACATGCGGCTGAGTCCTTCTCATGATACCATCTCTCTGGTTTCCTCACTTCTGCCTCCCTCTTCTACTTAAAAGGACTGTGATCTCCCAACCCATCCTACCTTGATAATCCAGGATAATCTTTCCATCTCAAGACCGCCTGATTATCAACTTTAATTCTATTTGCAACCTTAATTCCCCTCAGCCATGCAACCTAACATATTTACAAGATTCAGCAGTTTGGACCTGGACATGTTTGGCAGGGGAAAGGGGCATTATTTTGCCTACCATCCCATCTGTTGTTATTATGTAAATACACCCAAGAAATATTAAACACCGGTCAAGAAATGGTTCATCGCCAGCATATCTGAAGCCTCCCACATGTCAACTCTGTACTCTTCTAACTCCTTCTTCTCCAATTATAAACACTATCTTGAATTTTACAATTATAGATTAATTTGTTACTTTAGGAAGTTATTAAAAAAAGGTACCCTATGGTGTATATGCTTTTGTGTCTGACTTTTAGTCTTTCAACGTTTTGCTTGTGATATTAATCCCTGTTCTACTGGTATATGTTTATGTTTACTGCTATGTAGTATTTTACTGCATGAATAATACACAACATATTCATTCATTCACATATTGATGAACATTTCAATTGCTTTCAAATTGAGATTTCAAATGGTGAAACATAAAATTATATAAATGAATTTTATTGTTTATGTGCATGTATATTGAGTATAAAACTAGAAGGTAAAATGTGGGGCCACTGGACAACCATATGTGCACAATTGACAATGTCAAAATAGTTTTCCCCAGTAGATATAATTACACTCCCAACAGAAATTTAAGAATATTAGTTGCCAGGACAGTTTATCATAAACCATGTTGAATTTTATAATGCATTTTGTCCCAAATTGATTGGGATAGTCAATTTTCTTCTCCTTTATTTGGTTAATATGTTGGGTTACGATTTTCCAATGTCAAAACAGTGTTGCACTCCTGGAGTAGAAAATAGTTTGCTCATGGCATATTTATATGTTTATTATCTATCTATCACTCAATATTGTTTCTTAATATATTTTTTAGGATTTTCACATTTATGAACAAAAGTGAGATTAACTTATTTTTTTTTTAATATCATGTCTTTGTCAGGTTTTATAACAAAATGGAGTAAGATAGAAATTGAGTTCTTTATTATGATTTCTGGAACTGCTTGCATGTTTGCTTTTTAAATTGTTGGCGGGATTTACCAATGAAGCCATCTCAACCTAGACACTGTGAAAGTGGGTGTGTGAAAAGTTTTAATTATAAATTTAATTACTGTTCCAATTATCAATTTCTGCAGATGAACATATCTCAAAATTTAGCAGCTTTAAACAACAATTTTATTTTGTGGGTCAGGAATTTGAAGAGCTCAGCTGGGCACTTCTTAATTGAGTTTATTTATGGGATAATTTCCAAATACTGGCTGGTGTTACAGTAACCTGAAGGTTCAATTGGGCTGACATCTAATATGGCTCACTCACATAGCTGTGAGTTCATGCAGGCTGTCTGTGGGGAGATCATCTGAAGCTTTTAAACGCCTACACAAGGACACTCCAGATGGCAGTCTTAGGATAGTTTAACATCTTACATGGTTACTGGCTTCCCCAGAACAGTGTCCCATGAGAAATAGGCAGAAGCTGGCCAGGTGCAGTGGCTCACGCATGTAATCCCAGCACTATGGGAGGCTGCGGCAGGCGGATCACGAGGTCAGGAAATCGAGACCATCCTGGCTAACACGGTGAAACCCCATCTCCACTAAAAACACAAAAAATTAGTCAGGCATGGTGGCGGGCACCTGTAGTCCCAGCTACTCGGGAGGCTGAGGCAGGAGAATGGCGTGAACCCGGGAGGCGGAGCTTGCAATGAGCGGAGATCTGGTCACTGCACTCCAGACTTGCAACAGAGCCAGACTCTGTCTCAAAAAAAAAAAAAAAAAAAGAAACAGGCAGAAGTTGTGTTGTGTAGTCTTCAATTTTATCTTTGTGATCTGTCAGTTACAGAGGGAACTGTGTTAAAATGCTTCAGTGTGACTATAAATTTGGCTATTCTTTGTAATTTATCAACTTTGGGAAATTTTTGTCATTACTTCTTGAAATATTTTTTCTGTCCCTTGTTTCTGACTTCTCATCGTGTGACTCTAATTAGGAAAGTTAGACCACTTGATATTGTCTCACAGGCCACTGGAAGTCAGCTAGTATTTTTCCAACTTTTTGCTCTCTGCTTTAGTTTAGATTGGATTTGTTATGTCTTCAAAGTCACTGATATTTTCTTCTGCAATATCTAATCTGGAATTAACTACAGTCAGCGAATTTCTCAGTATACAAAATTTATGCTCATTTTTCGAAGTTTCACTTAGTTTTATGTTTCCTATTTCTTTTCTCATCAGTTTGTTTCCCTTTAAGTCTGTGAGCAGATTTGTGATAGCTACTTTAGAGATCATGTCTACTAATGACATAATCTTATTCTGGATCTCTTTCCGGATACTGATTTTTCTCCTGGTTTTAGGTCACATTATTCTGATGTTGGATATATCTAGTAATTTTTTAAATCATAAGCTACACATCACTTTTCTATATTTTTTTAATGCTGTATCACTATAATACTATTTTTTTTTTAAATGAGTATTGAGTTTTGTTCTGGCAGGAAGCTAATCTATTTGCAGATTACCTTAACCCTTTCCTGACTTCTTTGTAACTTTTGTTGGAAGCAGAGTTACCTGTATTTCAGAACTATTTCAGCCATCTCACTAAAGCACAACTTGTCTAATGTCTCTTTTGAATGTTGTTGGTGCTTATGAGGACTTTTCACGCTGGATGGTTAGAATTCAAATATCTTGAGGTCTTATGTAGGCACTGTTCAACACAGCTCCTGGATCATTCGTTACCAGCCTCATGGAGTTTCACCCTGTGCATGCGTGCCTTGGTATTTACCGATAGATTCAAAGGTCTTTTCAGTTATCTGGATCTATTTATGTGTTTCCCTACTGTCCATAACTCCACAAATTCCAGCTGCTACACTCTCCTTGAATCTAATCTCTGTCTCTTCAATAAAGGAAAATGATAATGCCTTCTTAATATGTCATTGAGCATTAGGCATGAATTTCTGATGAAGTATGTATGATTCAATGCAGCCTAATAACATCTGGGAAACAAACAATCATAAACAGTATTAGAATTATGATAATAAAATTTACACTGGCCATTGGGCAGTTATATCAATTTCATTCACAAAACAATTCATTGTTAAGATTTTTATAGTCAACCTTAAACCTTGCAACACAAACATATAAAGCAAACAATATTTTTTAAATTGAATAGATAAACCTAAGCAGTGAAATATTTTGGGTAAATATAATTGTACTACTATTTGAAGATTATTATTTTATAAGTTTACCTAAGTAATAAATATAAACATTCCTTTAGTCTCATTAGTGAGACCTAAATATTAGATTCAAATAAAAGTGATGGTTGTGATCTCCCATTATTGTGAATATTATAATGATGTTTATTGATTTTTCTACTCTTTAAGGCTTACTAGTTGCTTTGTCTTCTAAATCTCATTAAGCCAGGATAAAAAATTCAAATGGACAGTGTTAATCGTTTATAATCTATTACTTCATGCCAAATGCATTTCAGAACAAAGGATAAAAGCTGACCAGTATTATGTTAGTATGAAGAGAAGTAATATACTGTCATGGTTAATGACATTCTATACAGTGGTTTAAGACCAAAGGCTCAGAAATTAGCCTAGCTGGGTTTAAATCCTGCCTTCACTAGTTACTGAAATTAAAATTCAGCAAGTTATTTAACTCATCAATGCCTCTTTTTCTTCATTTAAAATAAGAATCATATTTGATATTTAAGGCTGTTGTGAAGATTAAAATGAAATAGTGCATTTAAAGTTTTCAGCATAAGGACAAGCACATGAGTAAATACTGAAAATAGTTAAATAGTTTTATAAATATTTAATGCAGAGAAGAGACGATGGAGACACAGAAGATCTTGTACCCTAGAACATCTGAATATTCAAATTTTCAATGAGTTGGAACCATGAATTAGCCAAATTTCCTGTTTACATGAGGTCATCTGACTTTTGGTACTAGCCTCTCTGGTATTAGAATAAAAGTTTTGATAATACTCTTTTAAGTTCATGAAAATGAATATTTGATATTGTCTTAGTCCTTTGGGGATGCTAAAATAAAATACCATAGACTGTGTGGCTTATAAGCAACTGAAATTTATTTCTCGCAGTTCTAGAGGCTGGGAAATTCAAGATAAAGGTGCCAGTGCATTCATGGTCTGGTGAGGGCCCATTTCTTACTTCATAAACAGTACCTTCTCACTGTATTTTCACATGGGGCCTCTTTTATAAGGGAACTAATCCCATTCATAAAGGTTCTGCGCTTATGCCCTAATCTCCTCGCCCCATCTTGTAATACCATCAACATGGGGGGCAGGGTTTTAACTTATGACTTTGGGGGGTTAAAAACATTCAGACCATAGCAGGTAGCAAATCTGTCTCGTAAGTAGAGTGAAAACAATGCCCTACATTTGACGTAAATCTTTCCTAATGATAGCTGCACCCACCTTTGTCAAAATCTAAATTCCCTCTATTGTTGTCTGTAAGCACCCTGAGGTGACCTTAACAGTTAACACACTCTATTGCACCTCTCTGACCTTTTCCTTTCTCTACCACCAACTGTGACTTCCTTGAGAACAGTTTTATCTTAGTCATTGCCATTTACTTAATTTTATTATAAAATATCAACAAGGGATATTCTTTAAATGTCTTTTGGATAAATAAGTAAATGAATGAATAGAAACTTGTAAATATTTTCTATATAATCAATTCTGGGTTTTGTTTGTTTTAAGAATTACTTGCAAAGATTGACAGTGATCTCCACACTGGTAAAGATACTCAGATTAATTTCTGGAACATAGTACCTTCTTTTCCAATTCTTAATTTCCTGTAATAGGCTATTTGTAAAGAATAATTTTGAGAAAATAATACAAGTGCTGATATAAGGAGTTAATGTGTTAAGAAAATGAAGAAAAGTTATAAGGACTTAAATACTGAAAATTATAAAATAATGTATCAACCCACTCCTTCTTTCTGCAGCTCTGTACCTCTTCATCATTGAGTTCACAATCTTCCATAAATGCCCATTTCTTGGAACATCTGTGTAGAGAAAGTTTGTTTTACAAGAAAGATAAAAGATATCATAAAATATAATGAAGTACAGAAAGAACTAATCTAAGCTTTAATGGTGTTGGACTGCAAATGCCTCAAAGTGGAAAGGATTACAAATATTGGTAAATTTGTGTGTCTTTGATGTTTTAAATAAGCCAGAAAGTTACTGTGTCATTTTTTATTTGAAAGTGATTTTAAATTCATTCAAATTGTTTCTCTTGTATTACTCATCAGCATACGTACATACATACTTACACAAATATCCATGTGTGTGCATATAAAGATTACAGTTAATTCTCAAACATGCAAGCAAGTTCTGGGGTGCCCAGATAAGATATGGTGAAGTAGCAAATGGAAATTTATCTCTCAAGCATTTTGAGAGTTCTGCTAATTGAAAGAGACCTATTTACATATTTATTGGGAAAGTCAAATGTGCCAAAATACTGCATTGTATACAATATCCAATTCTGTTACGTCGTTGATTTCCCAAAAGTCAATAATTTGGCTTTTGAAGGGTAATTCCATTAGAGAAGATAGCTTAGTTAAAAAGTACTGGGCCAGCAGTCAAAATTCCCAAGTTTAAGTACAATATTTTTCAATTTCTCACTGTGTGACCTCGGGAATATTATTCATTTTCTGATATATTATACATATTTTATAGATTCTTAGGTCTAAAACACTTGTTTTTAAAAAAGGATTCTACATGAAGAAATTGTGAATGAAAAGAATAAAAAATAACATAGATCCACATAGCCAAAGTGGTCTATTTTGATTTATTTGAAGTAGGTTATTGCCTGAGCTCCAAATCATTTAACTTCACATCAATATTATATAATTCTTATAAATTGTGTGTGTACATATGCACATGTGTTTAACTGTTTAGTGCAAGATATACTATCCTTACTCCATATTGGGACCAGTAATGTTTTCTTAATTCCTTCATGAAAAGTTTGAACAAAACTATTAAAAAAAACAGATCATAAAACAATGGCTAAACTAGACACATCTTAAATGATTCATAATTCTCAACCCTACAATTGCCATACCGAATGAAATGTTACTTGCATTCTAGAACCATAGAGCACTTGGAGTAAATCCTGATTTTGCAACTTGTGAGTTATGTGATATAAAATGTTATTTAAATATTCTAAATTTAAGTTTTCTTAACTGTAGAAGAAGAGATAATAAAAGGAAGCTTTTTTTTCTGTGATTCATATGTGTCAAGCATGTTCTAAGTACCTTAAATGTGTTGTCTAATTTAGTCCTCACAGCAACCTTATGAGTCAGGTTGTATTATTCTTTTTATTTGTTATATGGCTGGGGAAACCTAGAGAAGTGAAAGGGCCATGTTAATGAAACAAAACAAAAAGGAACTTATTAGGTGAAAGAGGTAGGATTTTGAAATTCTATCAGTCTGATTGCAGAAACACTTCATTATACTATTTCCCTGGCAAGTTCTAGATGAAATGAAGAAAAGGTATTTTACCTGCAGAGGAAGACATCTGGCACTAATAGCTGATTATCTATTAAAATTTAAAAAAGAAAAAAAATCACTCCTGTTCCTGCTATTGCTGTTGCTTCTGTTGCTGCTGTTAATACTATGACTATGCCTACTAGCTATGAATCTCCTTTTCTGTCAAGGCATCTATGGATTACAACATATTCTTCCATGTGTCTACCTTGTCTTTCTCTTAGAATAAAAATACACTGAACAGTTTCTTTAAAGCTAAAAATAACAAAAGGCTAACAGTGATAATTCGTAAAATTTTACTAACTATATCATTGACTAAGAAACACATATCCCAAGCTGCACATCCCTGAAAATTATCACTTGTTCTCAAAACTGCAATTGCTTTTGCACCAACCTAATATTTTAATTGCTTTTAGAATACCATACTGCTGTAAAGGAATTGAGTCCTAATATTCTTATTTGGTTCATTATTAAAAGGCATCTATTGCCAAGGTACCTACTGATTCTTGATTAGAATTCACTTTATAATAAAAACTAAGAGATTAACATACCCTTACCCTTCACTAATGGAGTGCAGTGGATCTATTTTCAGAGAACACAACACATTACCATTTTATTTTATTTTATTTTTATTTTTTTGAGACAGAGTCTCATTCTCTTGCCCAGGCTGGAGTGCAGTGACACAGTCGCAGCTCACTGCAACCTCCTCCCAGGTTCAAAGGATTCTCCTGCCTCAGGCTACCAACTAGGTGGGATTACAAGCATCCACCACCACCACCATGCCAGGCAAATTTTTGTCTTTTTAGTAGAGACGGGGTTTTACCATATTGGTCAGGCTGGTCTTGAGCTCCTGACCTCAAATGATCCGTCCGCCTCAGCCTCCCAAAGTGCTGGGATTACATGTGTGAGCCATCGCGCCCGGCGACATCACATTACAGTTCATAAATATGCATGATTCACATACATAGAGAATTCAGTGTCCTAATATCATTACCTGGCCTAGAAAATTTTGTGTTATGGTATTGGGGACAAACATTTTGCAGAAAAATCTCAACTAGTTTATGTATAGTGCAAAGGTTATAACATTTGTTTTATTGGAAACATTTCAGACTGTTATCAATAAGTATCTTCAAATTATACTAGAGTGCTATGCTCTTCCTGGAAGGCATGACATTTTGTGGTGAATTATATTCTTAAATTGGAACTCATCAAGATTTCTTGAACTCCTGCTTATCCTACTCTGTCCATAATTCAAATTCACATTTACACAATCAGGGATAAAATGGAGATTTTAAACCACAGGTCTTGTTCACACTTTAAGGTACATTTTTAGTTATTTTATTTTCACACAATGATTTTTTTTGTTGATTTAATTTGTGCCTCCTAAGACATTCTTTGTAGTAGATACTATACTTTTTCTTCTGTAAATCTTAATTTAAGCAAAAATCTTGATTTTGCTTAATTTCTTTTTTAATTTTTTAAAATGCAATTTCCTAATGACCATTTATCAGTCAGTTGGAGATGTCGTTTGCATGACTAAAGAGAAAATACAATAACTTTAAAAGCTCTAATTTTCCATAAACATTGTTATAAAACTCACATACCCTTTTAGAAGTCAGAAAGCAGCATGTTCCCTATCTGAATTATGTCAATCATAATGCATTCAAATTGCTGTTTTACTTAGCTTTCATAAAATCTAACAAAGAAAACAAGATTATTTTTAGTCATTCTAGAATTGACAGAAAATAAACAAAAGTACAAGATGTAGTTAAAATTTCAGGGGAAAAAGAGCATTTAAATATATAGGACTAAAAAGCATTCATATATTTATTGCATAAAGGGCTTTTAAAATCAACAAGATAAATATTAAAATAGGAAAAGAATTTGTCTCTATAGCATTTATCACCATTCAATATTGTATATATTTACTTGTTAATTTGTTTTATATCTACTTCTCTTTCTCTACAATGTAAGCTATATAAGGTCAGAGACTTGTTCTGAGGAGTCTCTAGTATACATATATTCACCCAAAACAATGTGTGACATATGATTATATACTGAATATGTTGGATGAAAAGAGTTTTTAAAATTTAAATCTCTCCATCACTTACAATGATTGTGACTCTGACTTTATACCTTGCTTTCTTTTTCATGTGTTGGTAATGAAGATAAAGTAATATATGCTTATCTTATAAAGATCATTTTTTTCTCTCTTTATCTCAGTTCTATGCTATCTGTGCCAGCTTCTGAGTAGAAAACCTCTGAGAGCAGTACTGGTTCATCAATGTTAAGGGGGGGGGGGAGGGGAGAGAGAGACAGCGAGTGAGCGAGCGAGCGAGCAAGCATGTACATTATGTTTAATGAGACAATGGTTACCCAGGAAAGAATTTGTGCCATCTTCTCTGCTCCCAGTAAAAATAGGGGCACAGTCAGTTCGGGTTTTATAAAAGCGTTACTAACTACTAATTGCTATCACTCAGCATGTCAAGTATATAGGCAATGATGTCAAGTATTTCCATCCTTTACCACCTTATTTTTTCCAAACTCTAAGCAATGTCCTTCAAAATTAAACACTGAAAACAAAAGAAATTTCTATTCAATAATATTCAAGTTTAATTTCAGCTTTGTTATTTCAAGAACAATTGCATCTATAAATATCGCCTAAGTGTTCACTAAAAGTCAAGTACTATGTAACATAAAAGAACTAAGAAAGAATAAAACAGATAATTTCTCTCAGCATTTACAGTTTAATTTGAATGTAAACAAATTACTTATGAGTTTACATTTGAAGCATCTACTCAAATGTACAGTTTGAGAATTAAATGGAGCTCAGTACTCAGGGTGTAAGCTATCACATTAAGAGACTATTAAATGATGTATGATATCCTCTCTCTTTGCTACCTTCTTTATCATGACTCACTGTCCTGATTAAGTTAATTGCACTACTGCAACCTAAGCTTTGAGCTCTTAAGATGCTCCCATACCACTACATTAAGGACTATTGGTCTTACATGTTTGCTTTGATAATTAGTTTAACATCTCATATCACATTGATGTTAAGATCTTTTTCTATTAAGTTTGTAAGAAGGGTTGGCAGTAATCTCGAACCTCTGTGTAAGCCTCTACTATACATTTCTTTCTGTCTGATTCTGGGAATACCTGCCACTGTGCTCCAGCTGTCTGCTAGGTCACCCTGACACATCACCTTGAAAAAATTTCTGTTACCAATTATCATCCATACTTGCAGTCAGACACCACACACTCACACTGATTGCCTCCACTCTTAGTACCTGTGTGCTATTCAGCAATAACTACCTCTACATATTCTCCCTCTATACCCATCTACTGTCAACAATTTACCAGGCTCACTATCTCAATAATGATTCTCAGCAGTAAAAAGATATACATTTATAAAATGGCAACTGTACTCGTTTGGGGTGTCAATTATTCTGGGGAATCTATTGTAGCATGTGTTATGTTCACATAAAAGCTATCTTGCTCCAACTGTACATGTTCTTATTACAGAAGATTCATTATTCTCCCATATACTTTCCTTTTAGAAATCTTCAATGGCAGAGGTATGCATTTACATAAATGAATGAAAAGAAATACTGAAGAATAGAGAATAACAATGATGCCTTAAACTTTCTATCTCTAGAAACTTTTAAATAAACAAAACTCAAGCCTTCTTACTTTTTTGAGAAATGGAAGGCATACCCATACAACTGGAAATTCTAACAGACTAGAGCCATTAGTTCACTAATAAATTGATTTATCTTACGTATCATAAATATCTTCATTTTAGAGTATACTACTAAAAATCAGTAATATCTCATACCTACAAAGTAGGCTTTTGGGATATTATTGATTTTAAAACACATTTATATATGAGGTTTTGCTCAAGCACCGGGTTGATTTTAATAATTGTCTTAATATTATCTATTTTTAAAAGAACTGTGTTGTTATACTGCTTGATGAAAAATATCTATTTTGTTTATCTATTCTGAAATCAAGATAAGACAAACAGATTTTTAATTAAAACAAGTGTTCCCATATCTCTTTCTATTATATATTAGAATTATCTGCTGTTCTCTGGAGTGAGGTACAACTTTTCACGGTATACGAAAATGATCATAAGTATTCACTCGCTTGCAAACAGGAGTATTAATCAGTGGACAATTTGGTTAAACCATTCACATAACACTTTATTTATTTTTATTTTTCTTGCCCTATCATACTTCTTGTCAACAAGAAGTATGAAAGGAGTATGGAGGAGGGATGCATTACATTAAATATTTCCTTTTATCATACTTAGGAAATTTCTGTAAAGTGCAAACATTAAAGCAGAGTTGTAGAAATAATCAAAGGAACTATAAATATTGTACCAGACTGAAAGAAAGTAGGGAAACATTATAATAGAGTTTTAGGAAAATTACCTTCTTAAACATAAATGGTGGATATGTAATACTGTTGTTTCGATGACTAAAAGAAACATAATGAACTTGTTAAAAATGCCTAAACAATGAAACACAGTTTTATTCCCAGAAACGAGAAATTTAGTGTTTTGTTTTTTTGAGACGGATTCTCACTCTGTTGCCCAAGCTGGAGTGCAGTCAATCTCAGCTCACTGCAACCTCTCCCCCGCTGGGTTCAAGCAATTCTCCTGCCTCAGCCTCCCAAGTAGCTAGGACTATAGGTGCCTGCCACCACGCCCAGCTAATTTCTGTATTTTTAGTAGAGATGGGGTTTCACCATGTTGGCCAGGCTGGTCTCAAGCTCCTGGCCTCAAGTGATCCATCCACCTCAGCCTCCCAAAGTGCTGAGATTACGGGTCACTATGCCCAGCCTGGTGTTAATTTTTAAACATGTGGTTCGACTATGGATCACTTGGAGCCCCAAAAGCAGAGCTCACTGATGAGCTATGTGAGGATTTCTCATTGGAAATGAAGAAGCTATAATTTCAGTGGGTACACAGTTTCAATTAGGCAAGATGAATAAGTTCTGGAGAGCTACCATATAGCAGAGTGACAATAGTTAATAAGAGATTCTATACTTGAAATTTACTAAGAGTAGATCTTAAATAATCTCACCACACACATGCACAAAACATAATTATGTGAAGTGATGAATATGTTTATACTGATTGCAGTAATTATTTTACAATGCATGCATATATCAAAATGTCACTTTGTACATCATAAATTCATAAAACTTTTATTTATTATACTTCAATAAAGCTTTTGAGAAAGTGACTTCAAAGCAATTTCCATTCAATGGAAACTTCCACACTTGAAATACTGAAGGCATTTCCCACATAATCAAGACAAATGTTTTACATAGGGTATTTAAAATATTGTTGTAACAACTTTGTTATTCCCCTTCACTTTAGTAAACTCTGAAAAAACACATCATGTGGAAGTTTGTACCATAACAAATGTAAATCCTAAATAAGTGATTTTTTAACAGGAAAAAAAAATAACTTAAAAATGAAATAAAAATACTGTTTGTTTTTATATAAAATATGACCTAATTTATCTAACTACTTTGATTAACATTTTCTTATATAAAAATCTGTGTGTTTGTTCATGGGTAGGGAGGTGTGAGTGTGTGTGTGGATGTGTTTGTGTGTGACATACCCATGCCTGAGAAATCCACCTGGTAATTGTTCTTTTTCATTTTGTGCAAGTCATTGCCTAGAACTTCTGGACAAGTAGGTCCTTAACAGAATGCTGGACTCTCTGCAAAGGGGGAGATTTTTGGCAGACCATGTTTCTCTTTATTATATTTCTACTTACTTTTCACATCTACTACACAAGACTTAACAAGATAATCAGACTGTATTGTGTATCTGAGGAAGTTCAAAGCAATGCAAATAATGCAGAATGCAATGTTAGACTCCTTTGATTGAGAAGTCCTTCCTCATCTCATCCTTGGGAGGTCTTACTGGCCATCTTCCTCTGCTAACCAGCTTCCTGCCATGTTGTGGGGCTGCTTTTCCATTCCCCACCTCTCTTTTTATGTTTCTTTCTTCTTTTATTGGTCTCTTTGTCTTCCTTTGCTGACTGCCTTTTTATGTCTCACTCAAAGTGTGCTTTCTCTCTCTCTTTCTTCCTGTCATTTCTCTCAATCCTTTCTTCTTTTTCTTCTCACATTTTTCCTCCTTGTGTTTATTTACATTCACAAGCTCATACTTTCTTTTTCACTCGTCTTCCTCACTAAAAGCAGCCTAAGATGATATTTCTTCTCAATTAAAGGCAAATCCTTCTTAAGAGAAGCTCTGGTTCCAACTACTAAAATAATTTGTTCACCTCAATGCACAAATAATCATTTTAGATATAAAAAGAGAAAAATTTACACTGGCATGTGGGTAAGATTTCATGAATATGAAAACAGTGTTTATCATTATTACTTTTAAGGATATCAATACATTTTTGAGGAAAATATATAATTTGAATATCTTAGTACATGTAAAAATGTTAAGAAGCTTGGAAAGTTATATATTATTATTGAAATCTAGTATGTATAAGTATAGTTATTATTAACGGATTTAAAAAATTAGAAAAAGAGAATTAAAGGTAAACCAACGCATTTGCTTCTATATAAACATAGGTGTAAAACAACACAGAAATAAAAAATGTAAAAGATAAAACACAACACTTTATATAGCAATTATCCAGTTTAAAACTAAAATATAATCAACATAGTTGAAGAATCATTTTATACCTGATAGGTTGCATGTATTATCTGCTGTCTCTCTAAAAGTAATCATCATCCTCAAGATATACGCATATGTGGGTGTATATGTATGTAGATATACATATATGTGTATATACATATATATATATTTACATCTCTATCAAATCAGCAATATGCAGTTAGACTTTTATATAAATTATTTCATATTTTAGTTTCTTGCAGATATTCTAAATTTTGATATATTCAATGTAATACTTTATAGATTTTCTTAAACAACTCTCACATTTCTGAGATGAATTCAATTTGATCATATTTTATAAATATTCACATACACGCACACACATGCACACACACACACACCCACACACACATATATAATTAAAGGCATGCAAACAGAGAAAAAGCATTTTTATTCCATTTGTAACTTTTTAAATATTATTGCATCTATTGTCATTAATGATAAATTATACTGGCCTGTAATCATAACTTTTTAGGCAGTACTTTTCTGAGTTTTCTGGTATTTCTTTTTTTTGGTATCAAGTCATACTAGTATCATAAAATTAGTAGACAGGATAACTGTGTTCAACATTTTATGCTATTAAGTTTTTATAAGTTTGGAAGTAACTGTTCCTTGAACATTTGGTAGTGCTTGCATGTAAAATTACTTGTGCCTGTTGTTATTTATTGCAGACTACTTTAGATACTATTTTTAAATGTACATTTTAGTGTTCAGTGTGTAATATCACAACTAATTCTTGGACATTCCACTGTTCACCCTTTTCGCCAACAAAAAAAAAAAGTCATACCAATTAGCAATTAGTCCTAATACTCTCTTTTCCCTATCCCCTGACGACTACTAATTTACTTTTTGTCCCTATAGATTTGCCTGTCCTGGGATTTCATATAATAAAATGATAGTCTGTGGCCTTTTGTGTCTGGCTTCTTTCACATAACAAAATGTCTTCAAAGTGAAACCGCATTGTTGCATGTAACAGTATATTATTCCCTTTTATGGCTAAATTATATTCTATCTAAATTATATTCTATTTTATGAATATACCACACTTTGTTTCTCCATTCATTAACTGATGAACACTTAAGTTGTTTCCACACTTTGGCTGTTGTGAATAATGCTGCTATGAACATTTTTCTGAGTGAACATACGTTTTCAATTCTCTTAAGTATATATCTAGGAATGAAGTTGCAGGGTCATATGGTGATATGATTTGGATGTGTGTCCTCTGCAGAGCTCATGTTGAAATGTGATCCTCAATGTTGGAGGTGGGGCTAAGTAGGTGTTTGGGGCACAGGGGTGGATCCTTCATAAATGGCTTGGTGGTGGTGGTGTCATCGCATTAATGAGTGAGTTCTCACTTTATCAGTTCATATGAGAACTAATGCTTAAACGATCCTGGCACCTCCTGCCTTGTCTCTTACTCCCTCTCTTGCCATGTGACATGCTGGCTCCCCTTTACCTTCCACCATGATTGTAAGCTTCCTGAGGCACTCATCAAAAAGTAGATGCTGGCACGATGCTTCATATACAGCCTGCAGACCCATGAGCCAAATAAATTTCTTTTCTTTGTAAATTACCCAGCCTCAGGTGTTCCTTAACAGAAATACAAATAGACGGCCAGGCGTGGTGGCTCATGCCTGTAATCCCAACACTTTGGGAGGCTGAGGCGGGTGGATCATGAGGTCAGGAGATCGAGACCATCCTGACCAACATGGTGAAACCCCATCTCTACTAAAATACAAAAAACTAGCCGGGCATGGTGGCACACGCATGTAATCCCAGCTACCAGGGAGGCTAAGGCAGGGGAATCGCTGGAACCCGGGAGGCAGAGGTTGCAGTGAGCCGAGATCATGCCACTGCACTCCAGCCTGGTGACAGAGCGAGACTCCATCTCAAAAAATAATAATAATAATAATAAAGAAATGCAAATGGACTAATATATGTGGTAATTCTATGTTTAACTTTTTGAGGAACTGCCCGGCCATCTTTCATAGTGGCTTCATGAGTTTAAACTTAACCTCACCAGTAATGAACAAAGGTACCAATTTTTTCACACCCTCACACACTTATTTTCCTTGTTTAAAAAAAAATTACAGCCAACTGTTATCTCATTTTGGTTTTGATTTGGATTTTCTTTATAGCTAATTCATAGGGAACCACCAAAGACCCTAAATAGCCAAAGCAATGTGTTGAATTTGGGAGCTTTGTGCCATTATGTCTTCAAATATCCTGTGTGTTCATTTATCTTTTTTTCTCCTTTTCTTGAACCCCTAAGATGGATATGTAGTTACACTTAATGATGTTCCACAGATTTCTGAGGATCTGTCCATTCTTCTTCAGTCTTCTGTTTCTCTGACAGAATAATCTCAATTAACTGGTCTTCATTCTTTCTTTTGCCCACTTGAATTTGTTGTAGAGGCCCTCTAGTAAATTTGTTATTTCAGCAATTTTTACTTTCAACTTTCAAATTATTATTTGGTTGCTTATTATTGCTTTCCCTTTATTAATATTCTCGGTTGGTTGACGCATCCTTCCCACAGTTTCCTTTAGCTCTGTACACATAGTTTACTTTACCTCATTGTTCATATTTAAAATAGCTGACTGAAGATACCTGTCTAGAAAATCCAAGATCTGGGCTTCCTCAGCCACGACTTGTATTAATTTCTCTTATGACCTCTCATTTCCTAGCTTTTCCTCCCAAGTTTTTGGTTAGTCTATTATTTGCCCCAACTATTATCTATCACTTTAGACAACTTTCAGAACTCATAATAAATGGATTTATATAGTTTTAGCCCATTTTCCATGTAGGGGTTAGATTTTGAGTTTCTCATTCTGTCATCTCACTGATGTTAATCTAGTACAAACATTTTTAACTATTGGTTCTATTACTTTGATACTCAAGTATTCTTTTTATTTGTAAATAACTTTTGGTAAGTGTTTTTCTTTCCCTCCTCCACCCTGCCCCCTCTGGGAAATAATTTATTTCTATTTGTTATCAAATGAATTGAAACAAATTAGTTGATTGTTATCTTACCTTATAAAATATTTATTGTTCTTTATATTATGTCCTCTCTTTCCTTTTGTTTGCAAGATTGATTTTTTTGGAGTCTTTGTTTCCTTTTTGTTTTCCTTCTTTCATTTTTCTATTTTTTTTTTTCTTCCTCCTTTGGTTCCCTATCTTCCCTCTTCCCCAACCCACAGCTTTCTGACACAATTTTAATTTTTTAATTGGTCTTTTCAAAGAACCAGTGTTGGGCTTTGCTAGCTCCTTCTATTTGGCATTTATTTCTATTTTGTGATTTCTAATTACTGTTGCATTTTTAAATTGTTTATTGTAGTTTATTCTGTTTCTTTTTTGTGTAAGTTTATAACTAGTGCACAGTAATTTTTAGTCAGATTTATAATGAACTAATTAAGGATTTGAGGCTATACAATTTAAAAAATCTATGTAGCTTCATTTCACAATGTTTAACACAAGGTTTTACTTCAAAATTTTATCAGTTATATATATGTATATATATATGTAAATTCATCAGTCATATATATTTATAATTGAACTAATAAATACAACCAATTAGCAAATATATTACCATATATGCATGTGTGGGTGTGTTTATATACACACACACACAAGTATATGTTTATTTTCTTTGACAAGTTATTTAAACTAGGATAATTTTTGTGGTGTATCTAAACATTTTCAGATGTAAGTTATAAATCATACAGTTAAATTTCAAATAACACAAGTTTAAACGGCATGGGTCCATGTATACAGAGATTTTCTTACGCCTCTGCCACCCCTAAGACAACAAGCCCAACACCTCCTCTTTCTTTCTTCTCCTCAGCCTACTCAAAACGAAGATGATTAAGATAAAGACCTTCATGATGATCCATTTACACTTAATAAATAGTAAATGTATTTTCTCTTTCTTACATTTTATTTTCTCTAGCTTACTTTATTGTAAAAACAGAGTATATAATACATGTAATATACAAAGTATGTGTTAATCAAACGTTTATGTTATTTGTAGGGCTTCCAACTGACAGTAGGCTATTAGTAAATTAAGTTTTAAGGAATCAAAAGTTACATGCAGATTTTCAACTCATGAGGACTTGGGACCTCTAATCCTCATATTGTTAAAAACACAATGGCATTTATCATTCATTTAATTATGAATTACTAAAATATTTTGATTCTAGTCTTCTAACATGATCCTATAATGCATATATTTTTCAAATTTCCTTACATTTCCTTAATGAGTTGCCCTATGCTTAATTTGTTAACTGTTAATTTAATGCTGTGATAAGGCATTTTCACATTTGTATACACTTTAAAATAGTTATTTAACTAATTGTGAAATAATGCTTATCAAAATTTTTGTTATTTATCTGTTTAATTATTGTCTGGTTGACTCATCAATTTTTAATAAAAGGTAGATTAAATTTTTTTCTTACAACGCTTTGTTTTCAATGTCTTTAAGTTTTGTAAATTTTTGCTTTATATATTTTGAGACTCTTTATTAATTTCTTACAAATTTAGAATATGCATTTTTCCAGATGAAGTTAACACATTATTTAATGATTCTCCCCAATCCTATTACTGAAGTTTTGCCTAAAATTATATTTTTAATCTTCAAATAATTGTTTAAACTTTATTTTTATTTGTTTTCCAGGCATAATTTTTGTATCTATTATTTTACTTTAGAATTTCTGAGCTTCTCTATTTTGTGTAAACTTTTAAGTAAAAAAGGTTAACTTTCTTCAATGTTTGCATGTGTCTTGTACACATGAAATTTTTCTATTATTTTGATTTTCTTCCTTGTTGTCCTGCTTTCTTTTCATATTTTCTTTATTTTTTTATGCCTATCTCTTAATTTTCCCAGTAACTCCATTTTATTAACTACTTATTTTCTTGCTTTCAATATCTTCTTCAAATTATTCCTTCTATTTTTAATGGGAACTATTCATTCTGATTATTATTTGATTACTCTTTAGTTATTAACAAGGATTTTTTTTTTTTTTTAATTTTCTTGAGACAGAGTTCCACTCTTTTTGCCCAGACTGGAGTGCAATGAATGGCAGGATCTTGGCTTACCGCAACCTCCACCTCCCGGGTTCAAGCGATTCTCCTGCCTCAGCCTCCTGACTAGCTGGGATTACAAGCATGAGCCACCATGCCCGGCTAATTTTGTATTTTTAGTAGAGACAGGGTTTCTCCACGTTGGTCAGGCTGGTCTCGAACTCCCAACCTCAGGTGATCCGCCCGCCTCGGCCTCCCAAAGTGCTGGGATTACAGGCATAAGCCACCACGCCTGGCCTTTAACAAGGGTTTTTAACTTAAAAGTATAATTTGCAAATATAATTACTGGTACTTTAATAATCCTTTAAAACTGTTTTAACTCTATTATTATATTTTTATTTAATGTATTTGAGTACATTATTCAGCAGATTGTTCCACTGAGCCAATAATTTACTTCATTTAAAGTACCACAGAACAATAAGTAGTTCATTATAAGAACTCAATTAATGGTATTTATCATCACTGTTGACGTTATAAGCCCCCTACTTTCATATTGGTATTATTTTATGTTCGTGTTATTTGTTTAGATTTAATGATGTGTTTACCAATTTCTTTACTCAACATTTATGTTGTCATCATGGAAATTTCCTGTGAAATAATTGTCTTTCTTCTTTTAGTTGATTTTTTATAAGTGAGTTGAGTGTAATCTTGGTAATCTCTTGATCTTTATCCATCTGAGTTTCTCTTTAAAAAAATCCTGTTGAGTAAAATATTCCTTGGTTACAGAACGTATTTACTTTCTCAGCAGTTTGCAATTATTCTCTTCTCCTTTTTCTACCATCCCTTTTGTTGTGACATCTGTGTTTTTTGTTGTTCATCTTATAATGCTTGATGTTCTTTAGTTTCACAGGAGTTTCAGTGCATATTTTTATTTTCCCTAATGAGCATATTTTATGTTCCTGTATCTGAAGACTCCTTTTCAGTGTTCTCAAAATTATTCATTGTTTTTTCTAATATAGATGTTTTTTATTCATTGCATTTTCTCCATTTGAGAATCTCATTAAAAGTGAATTGAACAGATAATATATTGTTGTTGTTGTTGTTTAGAACTCTTTGTTTTCTCTCCCTCTCATCTAGATTCCACTTACTAATTACCTCTATAGCTTTGTTCAGAATTCTATTTAATCCCTCCAATGAGTTTTTATTTTCAGTGATAACGGTTTGTTGCTTTTTAAAAAAATATTTTAAATCTGAATTAGATTTTTAAAATTATAGTTATATTTTAACTATTATTTTATTTGTTAATGTTTTCAACACAGTATTCATATCATCATAAATTATATTCAATATCAGTGTTTAATTCTGCTACTTGTTTTAATGCAAAGCCTAGCTCACAGTGTTTTGGTTTTGGTTTATGTTTAGAAAATTTTGATTGGAAATGCATACAAATAAAGTAAAAATCAATAATAATGCATATTTAGAAATAAGACATTTTTCATTTGCCTGATGTATTTAGTCCATTCTCACGCTACTATAAAGAACTGCCCAAGCCTGGGTAATTTATAAAGGAAAGAGTTTTAATTGACTCACAGTTCAGGGTCACTGGGAAGGCCTCAGAAAACTTACAGTCATGGTGGAAGGGGAAGCAAACACTCCCTTCTTCACAAGGGGGCAGGAAGGAGAAGAATGAGAGCCAAATGAAGGGGGAAGCCCCTTATAAAACCATCAGATCTCATGAGAACTTACTACCATGTATGGGTGACACTGGCCCCATGATTCAGTTACCTCCCACTGGGTCTCTTCCACAACATGTGGAGATTATGGAAACTACATTTCAAGATGAGATTTGGGTGGGGACACAGCCAAACCACATCACCTGATGGCCTACGTGCAGGCCAGTTCTATACATAAATTACCCTAAATTTACATAATTCTCAGAAAGATGAAGAATATCCA
Source organism: Homo sapiens (assembly GCF_000001405.40). Classification (NCBI taxonomy): domain Eukaryota; kingdom Metazoa; phylum Chordata; class Mammalia; order Primates; family Hominidae; genus Homo; species Homo sapiens. The sequence continues at coordinate 98,011,806 of NC_000011.10, forward strand.
AGTGTGATGCCTTGTTATTGTTTGTGGCTCTCTCAATCTGATGTTTATTCAAATATTTACGTTTTTCAATATTTGCACATGTGCTTTTGTAACTATAGGAACACAATAAAAATGCTCTTTTTTATTAATCTCACAATTTTATATATCAATGGTTTATATAACTGCATTTTGGATTCTGCCTATTATGACAATTTTTACTTTATTTATCTAAATACATAAAAATCTTGAGATTCATTAGAGAAAATATAGCCTTTCTTTAAATTTATTTGAGTTAGGATTCCCAGGCAAGATGGCCAAATAGGAACAGCTCTGGTCTGCAGCTCCCAGCAAGACCAATGCAGAAGGTGGATGATTTCTGCATTTCCAACTGAGGTACCCAGTTCATGTCGCTGGGATGGGTTAGACAGTGGGTGCAGCCCATGGAAGGCGAGAAGAAGCAGGGTGGGGCGTTGCCTCACCCAGGAAGCTCAAGGGGTCAGGGAACTCTTCCTCCTAGCCAAGGGAAGCTGTGAGGGACTGTGCCCTGAGGGACGGTGCTATCTGGCCCAGATACTAGGCTTTTCCCACTGTCTACACAACCCACAAACCAGGAGATTAACTCCAGTGCCTACACCACAAAGGCTCTGCTTTAAAGCACAAAACTGGGCGACCATTTGGGCAGACACTGAGCTAGCTGCAGGAGTTATTTTTGGTACCACAGTGGTGCCTAAAATGCCAGCAAAACAGAACCATTTCCATTTTCCCCTGGAAAGAAGGCTGAAGCCAGGGAGCCAAGTGGTCTCGCTCAGCGGATCCCAGCCCCACGGAGCCCAGCAAGCTAAAATCTACTGGCCTGAAATTCACGCAGCCAGCACAGCACTCTGAAGTCGACCTGGGATACTCGAGCTTGGTGGGGAAAGGGGCATCCACCATTACTGAGGCTTGAGTAGGCAGTTTTCCCCTCACAGTGTAAAGAAAGCCACTGGGAAGTTCAGACTGGGCAGAGCCCATTGCAGTGCCTCAAAGCCTCTGAAGCCAGACTCCCTCTCTAGATTCCTCCTCTCTGGGCAGGGCATCTCTGAAAGAAAAGTAGCAGCCCCAGTCAGGGGCTTATAGATAAAACTCCCATCTCCCTGAGGTAGAGCACCTGGGGGAAGGGACAGCTGTGGGCGCAGCTTCAGCAGACTTAAATGTTCCTGCCTGCCAGATCTGAAGAGAGCAGCGGATCTCTCAGCACAGAGCTCGAGACTGCCTCCCCAAGTGGGTCCCTGACCCCCATGCCTCCTGACTGGGAGACACCTCCCAGCAGGGGTCAATAGACACCTCTTACAGGAGAGCTCCGACAGTCATCTGGTGGGCGCTCCTCTGGGATGAAGCTTCAAGAGCAGGGAGCAGGCAGCAATCTTTGCTGTTCCGCAGCCTCCACTGGTGATACCCAGGCAAACAAGGTCTGCAGTGGACCCTCAGCAAACTCCAGCAGACCTGCAGAAGAGGGGCCTGACTGTTAGAAGGAAAATTAACAAAGAGAAAGCAATAGGATCAACATCAACAAAAAGGCCACGCAAAAACTCCATCCAAAGGTCACCAACAGCAAAGATCAAAGGTAGATAAATCCATGAAGATGAGGAAAAACCAGCACAAAAAGGCTGAAAATTCCAAAAACCAGAATACCTCTCTTCCTCCAAAGGAACACAACTCCTCGCCAGCGAGGGAACAAAATTGGACCGAGAATGAGTTTGACGAATTGACATAAGTAGCCTTTGGAAGTAGGTAATAACAAACTCCTCCGAGCTCAAGGACAATGTTCTAACCCAATGAAAGGAAGTTAAGAACCTTGAAAAAACGTTAGACGAATTGCTAACTAGAATAACCAGTTCAGAGAAGAGCATAAATGATCCGATGGAGCTGAAAAACACAGCACAAAAACTTCATGAAGCATACACAAGTATCAGTAGCCGAATTGATCAAGCAAAAAACAGGATATCCGAGATTGAAGATCAGCTTAATGAAATATAGTGTGAAGACAAGATTAGAAAACAAAGAATGAAAAGGAATGAACAAAGCCTCCAAGAAATATGGGACTATGTGAGTAGACCCAACCCATGATTGATTGGTGTACCTGAAAGTGATGGGGAAAATGGGAACAAGTTGGAAAACACACTTCAGGAAATTTATTATCCAGGAGAACTTCCCCAACCTAGCAAGACAGGCCAACATTCAAATTCAGGAAATACAGAGAACACCAAAAAGATACTCCTTGAGAAGAGCAGTCCCAAGACACAAACTCGTCAGATTCACCAAGGTTGAAATGAAGGAAAAAATGGAAAGGGCAGCCAGAGAGAAAGGACGGGTAACCCACAAAGGGAAGCCCATCAGACTAAGAGGAGATCTCTCAGTAGAAACCCTACAAGCCAGAAGAGAGTGGAGGACAATATTCAACATTCTTAAAGAAAAGAATTTTCAACCCAGAATTTCATACCCGGCCAAACTAAGCTTCATAAGTGAAGGAGAAATAAAATCCTTTACAGACAAGCAAATGCTGAGAGATCTTGTCACCACCAGGCCTGCCTTACAAGCACTCTTGAAGGAAGCACTAAATATGGAAAGCAAAAACCACTACCAACCACTGCAAAAAGAAGCCAAAGTGTAAGACCACCCACACTATGAAAAAACTGCATCAAGTAATGGACAAAATAACTAGCTAGCATCATAACAGGATCAAATTCACACATGACAATATTAACCTTAAATGTAAACAGGCTAAATGTCCCAATTAAAATGCACATACTGGCAAACTGGATAGAGTCAAGACCCATTAGTGTACTGTATTCAGGAGACCAGGAGACCCATCTCTCATGTAAAGACACACATAGGCTCAAAATAAAGGGATGGAGGAAGATTTACCAAACAAATGGAAAGCAAAAAAAAAGCAGGGGTTGCAATCCTAGTTTCTCACAAAACAGACTTTAAACCCACAAAGATCAAAAAAGACAAAGAAGGGCATTATATAATGGTAAAGGGATCAATGCAACCAGAAGAGCTAACTATCCTAAATATATATGCACCCAATCTAGGAACACACAGATTCATAAAGCAAGTCCTTAGAGACCTACAAAGAGACTTAGACTCCCACACCATAATAACAGAAGACTTCAACAACCCACTATCAACATTAGAGAGAGCAATGAAACACAAAATTAACAAGGATATTCAGGACTTTGAAATCAGCTCTAGAACAAGCAAAGCTAATAGACATCTACAGAACTCTCCACCCCAAATCAACAAAATATACATTCTTCTCAGCACCACATAGCACTTATTCTAAAATCAAACCCATAATTGGAAGTAAAACATGCCTCAAAAGAACAGAAATCGTAACAGTCTCTCAGACCACATTTCAATTAAATTAGAACTCAGGATTCAAAAACTAACTCAAAAACACACAACTACATGGAAACTGAACAACCTGCTCCTTAATGACTACTGGGTAAATAATGAAATTAAGCGAGAAATAAATAAGTTATTTGAAACATTGAAACCAATGAGAATAAAGATACAACATACCAGAATCTCTGGGACACAGCTAAAGCAGTGTATAGAGGGAAATTTATACCAATAAATGCCCATAGGAGAAAGCAGGAAAGATCTAAAATCGACATCCTAACATCACAATTTAAAAAACTAGAGAACCAAGAGTAAACAAATTCAAAAGCCAGCAGAAGACAAGAAGTAACTAAGATCAGAGCAGAACTAAAGAAGATAGAGACACAAAAACCCTTCAAAAAAAAAATCAATGAATTCAGGAGCTGGTTTTCTGAAAAGATTAACAATAAATAGACTGCTAGCCAGACGAATAGAGAAGAATTAAATAGACACAATAAAAGAAGATAAAGGGGATCTCACCACTGATCCCACAGAAATATAAACTTACCATCAGAGAATACTATAAACACTGCCACGCAAATAAACTAGAAAATCTAGAAGAAATAGATAAATTCATGGACACATACACCCTCCCAAAACTAAACCAGGAAGAAGTTGAATCCCTGAATAGACCAATAACAATTTCTGAAATTGAGGCAGTAATTAATAGCCTACCAACCAAAAAAAGCCCAGGACCAGACGGATTCATGGCCGAATTGTACCAGAGGAACAAAGAGGAGCTGGTACCATTCCTTTGAAACTATTCCAAACAATGGAAAAAGGCCTCCTCCCTAACTCAATTTATGAGGCCAGCATCATCCTGACACCAAAACCTGGCAGAGACACAAAAAAAGAAAATTTCAGGCCAATATCCCTGATGAACACTGATGCAAAAATCCTCAATGAAATACTGGCAAACCGAATCCAGCAGCAAACTAAAAAGCTTATCCACCATGATCGAGTCAGCTTCATCCCTGGGATGCAAGAGTGGTTCAACATATGCAAATCAATAAATGTAATCCTTCCCATAAACAGAACCAATGACAAAAACCACACGATAATCTCAACAGATGCAGAAAAGGCCTTTGATAAAATTCAACACTCCTTCATGCTAAAAACACTTAATAAACTAGGTATTAATAAAACACATCTCAAAATAATAACAGCTATTTATGGCAAACTCACAGCCAATATCATACTGAATGGGCAAAAGCTAGAAGCATTCCCTTTGAAAACCGGCACAAGATAAGGATGCCCTCTCTCAATACTCCTATTCAACATGGAATTAGAATTTCTGGCCAGGGCAATCAGGCAAGAGAAAGAAATAAAGCGTATTCAAATAGGAAGATAGGAAGTCAAATTGTCTCTGTTTGCAGATCACATGATTGTATGTTTAGAAAACCCCTTCATCTCAGCCCAAAAACTCCTTAAGCAGATAAGCAACTTCAGCAAGGTCTCTGGATATAAAATCAATGTGCAAAAATCACAATCATTCCTATATACCAAAAATAGACAAACAGAGAGCCAAACCATGAGCAAACTCCCATTCACAGTTGCTACAAAGAGAATTAAATACCTAGGAATACAACTTACAAGGGATGTGAAGGACCTCTTTAAGGAGAACTACAAACCACTGCTCAAGGAAATAAGAGAGGACACAAACAAATGGAATAACATTCCATGCTCATGGGTAGGAAGAATCAATATTGTGAAAATGGCCATACTGCCCAAAGTAATTTATAGATTCAATGCTATTCCCATCAAGCTACCACTGACACAGAATTAGAAAAAACTTCACAGAATTAGAAAAAACTACTTTACATTTCATATGAAACCAAACAAGAGCCTGCATGCCAAGACAATCCTAAGCAAAAAGAACAAAGCTGGAGGCAACACGCTACTTGACTTCAAACTATACTACAAGGCTACAGTAACCAAAACAGCATGGTACTGGGACCAAAACAGATATATAGACCAATGGAACAGAAATAACGGCCCACATCTACAACCATTTTATCTGTGACAAACCTGACAAAAACAAGCAATGGGGAAAGAATTCCCTATTTAATAAATGGTGTTGGGAAAACTGGCTAGCTATATGCAGAAAGCTGAAACTGGACTGCTTCATTACACCTTATACAAAAATTAACTCAAGCTGGATTACAGATTTAAACATAAGACCTAAAACCATAAAAACCCTAGAAGAAAACCTAGGCAATACCATTCAGGACATAGGCATGGGCAAGACTTCACGACGAAAACACCAAAAGCAATGGCAACAAAAGCCAAGTTGACAAATGGGATCTAGTTAAACTACAGAGCATCTGCACGGCAAAAGAAACTATCATCAGAGTGAAGAGGCAACCTACTGAATGGGAGAAAATTATTGCAATCTATCCATTAGATAGATTGACAAAGGGATAATATCCAGAACCTACAAGGAACTTAAACAAATTTGCAAGAAAAAAACAACGTGGGCAAAGGATATGAACAGACACTTCTCAAAAGTAGATATTTATGCAGCCAATAGACATAGGAGAAAATGCTCATTATCACTGGTCATTAGATAAATGCAAATTAAAACCACAATGAGATTCCATTTCACACCAGTTAGAATGGCGATCTTTAAAAAGTCAGGAAACAAGAGGTGCTGGAGAGGATGTAGAGAAATAGGAGTGCTTTTACACTGTTGGTGGGAGTGTAAATTAGTTCGATTGTGGAAGACAGTGTGGAGATTCCTCATGGATCTAGAGCTAGAAATACAATTTGACCCACCAATCCCATTACTGCATATATACCCAAAGGATTATAAATCATTCTACTGTAAAGATGCATGCACACATATATTTATTGTAGTACTATTCACAAGAGCAAAGACTTGGAACCAACCCAAATGCCCGTCAATGTTAGACTGGATAAAGAAAATGTGGCACATATACCCCATGGAATACTATGCAGCCATAAAAAAAGAATGAGTTCATGTCCTTTGCAGGAACATGGATGAAGCTGGAAACCATCATTCGCAGCAGGCTAACACAGGAAGAGAAAAGGAAACACCGCATGTTCTCACTAATAAATGGGAGTTGAACAATGAGAATGTATGGACACAGGGAGGGGAATAACACACTACAGTTCCTGTTGGGGAGTAGGGCACAAGGGAAGGGATAGCATTAGGAGAAATACCTAATGTCGATCACACGTTGATGGGTGCAGCAAACCACCATGGTAAATATATACCTATGTAATAAACCTGTACGTTCTGGACACGTATTCCATAACTTAAAGTATAATAAAAAAAGAAGAAAAAATTAATTTGATTTAATTTGAGTGTAAAATAACAAGAACACATAGCTGGTGTAACTAAACTCACAAATTACTGAGTATGAATGGGGTTGTGGTTATATTCTTTATTTTTTTCCTTGCATTTTTCCTTCTCTTTTCTGTTTAATATTCTCTCTCTCGGCAGGAGGTTCTTTTGATATTTTGTGTATGAGGACAAAAAAGATGATTTTTCATGCAGTTATCTTTATTTCACATATTAATTTGTTCTTCTAGCTCACCATGTTAAATATTACACAGTCCTTCAAGAGTTTCAGGTTTCATGGGGATTTTAGGTCCAACATATTGTCCCAAACAGGTCCTTCACACCATTAAAGCAAAATTCCCTATGTTTCCACCATGGAGAAATACTCTAAACCCAGCCTCATCAATTTCCATTTTGTTTATTCCCTAGAGTGAACAGGTAAGTATTTAGTGAAAAAAATTCCTTTAATAAAATTCATATAGACATTTATAAATTTCTGAATTTATAAATAAATTTATAAATGTATGTAGTATGTGTTTGTGTATGTGTGAAACTCAGAATTTTTATCTCACTTTACTACTAAAATTAGATTTCACATATGTTTCTCAGAGAATATACATTAGTGGTGCCTGACCTTTTTGGCAACAGGGACCAGTTTCATGGAAGACAATTTTTCCACAGACTGGTGTTGGGGAGATGGTTACGGGATGATTCATGCACATTACATTTATTGTGCCCTTTATTTCTACTATTACATTGTAATATTTTACAACTCACCATAATGTAGAACCTGTGAAAGCCCTGAGCTTGATTTCCTGCAAACTAGATGGTCCCATTGGGGTGTAATGGGAGACAGTGCAAATCATCAGGCATTAGATTCTCATAAGGAGCACGCAACCTAGATCCCTCCCAAGTGTAGTTCACAATAGTGTTTGTGCTCCTATGAGAATCTAATGCTACCACTGATCTGGTAGGAGGTGGAGGTCAGGCGGTAATGTGAGTGATAGGGAGCAGCTCTGAACAGAGATGAAGCTTCACTTGTTCCCCCACCGCTCACCTCCTGCTGTGTGGCCTGGTTCCCAACAGGACATGGACCAGCACTGGTCCATGGCCCAGGGGTTGGGGACCTTGCTATACATGATATAAAACAAAGTATAATAACTTATAATAATTGGTAATACTATTAAATTAGTATATCATGATGTCCATTGAAATCCTCATTCCAGAAACTAACACAGCAATACTTTTAAAGTTTATTTTTAAAAATACCATACATATGGATTTTAATAATGTCTTTTTCATATTTTAACATATCTCAGAGATTAAGAATCTTCTAATCCCCAAGGGCAAATTTCTTTTTTCAAATTTTTTTTTTCGTTGAAAATGGCACGAGTCTTACAATCAAGATAATGCTGGATTTGATATAGTGGAATAATCTTTAACTTTGTTGTCTTTCTTAATTTTTAGTTTTTATGGATATATAATAGTTGTACTTATGCAGAGGTATATGTGATATTTTGATACAAGCATACAATGTGTAATGATCAAATCAGTCTGAGATATTCATCACTTAAAGCATTTATCATTTCTTTGTTTAGGAACATTCCAATTTCACTTTTTTAGCTATTTTAAAATACACATTAAATTATTGTTAAATACAGTCATCATATTGTGCTACGAAATACTAGATTTTATTCCTTCTATCTAATTTATTTTGTATCCATTGATGGTAGATTGATCTGAAATTTCTACTGGGGATGTCATATTTACTGTTCTTCCAGTGTTGTTGCCATTGTTTTTAATCCTGTATTGTCTGTTGTTAAGACAGTGCTATATTGTAGAATATGAATGTCAAGCACAGCCTGCATGTATAACACACTGCTCTTCTGATTGTCAGCAAAATAATTTAGCCTTTTTAATTTAAAATTTAGTTTACTGTTAATTTACCTGACTGCTCTAAATTTACTTATCATAAATTTATTTACATTGGAAGTATATCATTTATCTCATCTGAGGAAACTTTCAGTCTGGGGTTTGAATACAGAAAGTTACCTGTTTCCATGTGACCATTTAAATTACAACATTAGGCCTGGCACGGTGGCTCACGCCTGCAATCCCAACACTTTTGAAGGCAGAGGCAGGTGGATCACTTGAGGTCAGGAATTCAAGACCAGCCTGGACAACATGGTGAAGCCCATCTCTACTAAAAATACAAAAATCAGCTGGGCATAGTGGCGGGTACCTGTAATCCCAGCTACTCAGAAGGGTGATGCAGGAGAATTGCTTGAACCCAGAGGTGGAGGTTGCAGTGAGCCAAGATCAGGCTGCTGCTCTCCAGCCTGGGTGAGAGAGTGAGATCATGTCTCAAAAAAACAAATAAAATAAATAAAAAATAAATTATAACATTAAAGATTACAGAATAAAATTCTAAAATTTACATTTTTAGAAATTTTTTATCATCAGCATGTATATAACACTGGAAAATATTTACTCCCATTCATAATTTAAATGTTCTTTTAAAATGTACTTTTTCATACGAAGTGAAACTAAGAACATTAGGGTGAGTTGAAAATTTGCAATTCCCTACAATAATACATGGTCTCTCTTGGCCGGGTGCGGTGGCTTATGCCTGTAATCCCAGCAATTTGGGAGGCCGAGGCGGGCAAATCACGAGGTCAGGTGTTCGAGACCAGCCTGGCCAACATGGCAAAACCCCATCTCTACTAAAAATACAAAAAATTAGCTGGGCGTAGTGGCGGGCACCTGTAATCCCAGCTACTCGGGAGGCTGAGGCAGGAGAATTGCTTGAACCCGGGAGGCAGAGGTTGCAGTGAGCTGAGATCACACCACTGTGCTCCAGCCTGGGCGAGAGAGCGAGACTCCATCCCCCCACTGAAAAAAAAAAAAAATACGTGGTCTCTCTTAACACATTATTTGTGGGGAGTTTCCTCAGGGGGAAAACGAAAATAATTCCTTTTTAGATTGGATCATGTTTTAATTTATAAGAAAGTAAGCTAGTGTGTACCAATCATCAATAATACACTCAAATGAGCTAACTGGATTATAATGTGGTGAATAAAGAAGAAAGGTGTAACATAAATAATTGGCTCAAATGCTTTGTTCAAACTTATACCCCAGTACCAAAGAATAAAAGCCTTTTCTTATGATTTGTTTCTCTTATATGGTTATGGTTGGAGATAACACTAACCACTTCTTATTAAAGCAAGACTTTGCTATCTTAGTTCTCTACTAAAGCTATTTGTGCTGAAAAAAAGTCGGGATATATTTGGATCCTAAATCAGTAACAGAAGGAACATATACCATGCAGCAACATCAAGTCAGGAGCAGAATTCTCGTTTTACAGTGCCCCATCTCAAATTCTATTTTCATCAGAACCATGAGACATTCTTCATTCATTTATTACCACTAAGTTTACTATGAAAGAATCATAAGAGCAAAAGCTTGTAGAGTGTTTACTGAGTAGGTTGCGTTCTAAGTGTGTTGCTTATATGACATCTACCAATTTTCAGGAATAGAAAATATGTTTATCCTCATGTTATAACTGAAGAAACTGAGAAAGCAAAAAGTAAAAACCTGAGTCACTGCCAGATAACTATTGGTGTCTAACCTACAACTGGAACCCTGAAAACTGGCTCTGGAGTACATGCTCGTAATTGCTATTTATACTGATTTACCCCATAATGCTTCTTTTTCATTCATTTGCTCCTGAGCAAAAAGTACAAGTTAAGTGTGTAAGGATATGATTATTCTTATCTCATTTGCTTGCCTGGCTTATGAAGGCAAATTTATAACCATCAGATTTCAAAACATTTGTATGGGTAGAGCTTTCTGGCCAGTATAAAGTTTTATTGTTTTACTAGTATGCTTCCTTATAACAAATCTTGTCATTTATTTATATGCATTGTATTTTTTCCTAAGGAAGATAATAAACACAACATATATTCCTACATAATTTAAATGTTAAGTAGAAAAGATTAAAATATAATCTCTCTAGGCCACATGCGGTGGCTCACATCTGTAATCTTAGCGTTTTGGAAGGCTAAAGTGGGAGGATTGTTTGAGGCCAAGAGTTTGAGATCAGCCTGAGCAACACAGAGAGAGATCCCATCCCTACAAAAATAAACAAACAAACAAATAAATAAACAATAATCTCTCTAAAATTCAACACACATTTAGTATACTTTCAATAAGCGGAGGAGGTTCAAATTTTTATGATCTTTAGAAAAAATTTTAGTTTCCTATGTAACATTAGAAAATAAATGAAAGCACTAAAACAAATGAATGTATAAATTTGATTTGTCAAAAAAATAAAAATTACCTCTCAACAGAACATTTATGTTGATTATGTCTGGCTAAATATGAATTAGGATAAAAATGTCAACCCGTATTCTAAGACATTATTCTCTCAAAAATAATCAATAGCAATTTGATAAGTCAGATCATCCTGTATTCAGGAAAATGGAATTGGGGTATTGGATATTTAAAGACACGACAGAACTTGAGAAGGCACTACCTGAATTACTTGTATTGTTTTTGACATTGAACTCTACTTATCCATGACAGAAAATACAAAAACAAGGGGCTATGCAATAAAACATCAGTCACAGAGAAGCCATGTGATATTTCTCTGGCCTACATTTTGTTTTCTTATGAATCCTGTTTTCACACTCTCCAAGTTAACTGACTTTTTAATTTGAATAGCTCTGTCATGGCGAATTACATATTTCAGTAATTACTATAATATAAATATAAATGTTAAAAAAACTTATTGCTAATAATTTTTATCACATCTCTTTAGTATTTTCATTGTGCTGAACAATAAGGAAAAATCACAACTTTTGTTTAATTTGGGAAGTTTTCCAGATGCCTATTGAAAGCCATGTATCCAATGAGGACTGTATTATGCAGCATTTATTTATCTCAATAGAAGTCACATCATCAGCACTTTTTTAAAAATGGGTTTATGTGGTGAAAAGGATTTAAATAAGATCAACTTCTAGTGGAAGGCTAAGTATCCTGTGGGTGTATGGTAAATGATATTTAAGGGAATTTGGCAGCAAATTCAATTCAATCCAATCAACTTTTATTGAGAGTCTAAGCTCTTATGGATGATAAGGTTATGAAAACTGATGAAAAAGACTGCCTGCAATTTAAGAAAGTTTAAGGTCTTTTGCTAGAGACAGACATTTTCATAACTATATAGAAAGGGTATTTGTTTTTTTTCTAGATCATCAAATATTAGTCAAGGCTTATATACACTAAGAAATATGTGAGGCTCTGGATAATGTAAAATCCTGGTCCTCTTGTTGTAAAAGCGCAAAGTGAATTTTCAAATATAAACTATGACAAAACAATATTCACTGTTTCATAAATGCCTATTTTGTGCAAAGTACAATAACACATTTTGCTGAGATCAGGAAATGTATAATTAGGTAATTAACACAGACACAAAAATATGTGCATGTGTGTGTTTCAGTTAATATTTTATGAAGGCAATGATAGCTATCCTGTTCCACCGTGTATGAGTAGTGCTCAGATGGGTAGAGAAGGTAGGGATAAATTGAATTTTAAGGTTAGGGAAGACCCAAGAGCTATGACTTGGTGCTTGAATGTAAACATTAGGAAGTGACAAAGCTTAGGAACCCAGGAAGGATTGTGAAGGGAATTGCATGCTGTACCAAAGTCTTTGTTTATGTTTGTTTGTTTATGGCAAGAAGCTGTAAATTATAGTAATGTATACATTGTAAATATCATCCTTCTGATTGTGTAGTGAGTCCCTATCCTGCTTGGTAGACTAAAATAACACAAAAATATTATGTAGGTTAAGTATGGGTCAGCTGGGGCATAATGTATGAGACCAATTTCAAAAACCAGGAAGAGGTCAAAAGATGATGAACTTTCAATAGATTAATAATATATATCAAAAGAAAAGGAACACATTGGCCTGATGTGGTAGCTCACACCTGTAATCCCAGCAGTTTGGGAGGCCAAGGCAGGCAGATCACTTGAGATTGGAATTTGAGATCAGCCTGGCCAACATGGCAAAACCCCATTTCTACTAAAAATGCAAAAATTAGCCAGGCGTGTTGGCGCATACCTGTAATTCCAGCTTCATTGGAGTCTGAGACATTAGAATTGCTTGAACTCCAGTGGCAGAGTTCAAGAAATCGGAGATCAATTCAAGCTGAGATCGTGCCACCACACTCCAGCCGGGGCAACAGAGAGAGACATCGTCTCAAAAAAGAAAAAAAAGATTACATTAAAAAAATAAACAAGCCCTCTACAGCTTTGTTATTTTTTGTCTCTTTGGAAGTGTAACATGTACCATTCACAAGAACCTAAATCTTGAAGTGGTCGTGGTCTTTTTCAAGAGGCTTCTTTTCTGCCCCTGTCTCACAACAAAGACCTTGAAGGCCAAACAAATTGGATCTGTCCTTGAATTCATAAGATCTCTGCCTGGCTGAACATTAAAAATGGTTCTTTTCTGTTGAGATGGGAATTTGAAATCATCCTGGCCAACATGGCGAAACCCCATCTCTACTAAAAATACAAAAATTAGCCAGGCGTGGTGGCACATGACTGTAATTCCAGCTTCGTGGGAGCCTGAGACATGAGAATTGCTTGAACTCGGGTGGCAGAGTTCAATGGTGGGAGAGAGTTACATGTGTAGTCGATGAGAATGGAAATTGTAACTAAAGTCTACTTTTGTTACTACTAATTGTAATAGTCTACTTTTGGCCTGAAGGCTGCAATAGTAAAAATAAATAAAATATTATATAACATGAGACTATCAACTACCCTAGCTTCTTTATTTTTCCATTTTGAAGACCACTGTGAGTGTCTTCAAAATTTCCAACAGTTCTGTTTTACCCTTTTTTTCCCAATATTTGCATATTCCCCTTTGTTATTACACTTTGAAGGCTATAGAAATGCATCTGATTTCCCAGGCAGCTTGTCAAGGTGCTGAAATTTTCAAATGACTTATTCTAGTATCATTTACTATAACTGGAACAACATTGCAATATGCAGAAAAGCACATTCTGTGAATTTTAATTTTGCTGTGGAACTTATGTAAATAAAGAGAGAGGAAATAATGATTGACATTAAAATATTAATTTGATACTAATTTGTAGTAAAATAGTGTGTCTTAGAGAAGGCTAGATTTGTTTTTACACCCTAGTTTTGCCACTCACTGAGGAATCACAACTTTTTAAACATTAACTCCCAATTCTAATATATAAAATATAAAATGTTTTGGGGGGGTGTAACATCTGGAAAAAATATTTAAAACTATGCAAAGCTCAGGCAGCACTCTGAAATTCTTCGATAAATATTAGCTTATTTTCTCTACACTTGTCCCAACCCCACCTCATCACTCTGTTCAGATCATGTATTATTAGATTGAGAATTCTGAGGTCAGGATCTCTTTCCTTTACTGTTTGCCTCCCCAGGCATAGGAAAAAAAATGGCTTGCTCATGTGGGTGAAAAATAATATTGTAGGTTGAAAAAACGAAATGATAAATTTATATATGAGAAATAGAAGCGAGGAAGAAAGGGAATGGGGGGAGGGAGAAAAGAGAAAGGAAAGAGGAAAGAAGAAAAGCAGGGAGGAATCACCAAAGTACAGTTTAACACTATTAAAAGCAGGAATGGATGTGATCTGATTATTTAACAATAAGAACACTTACTGTTTTTAAATGAAAATCAAATGTAAACTGATGCTTCTTTCTCTGTATTAGGGTATCTCAAACAAAATTTCATATTTTCCTTTTATTCTTCATTTACAAATGACTCCAGAATATATTATGTAAGCCTAGGAGATTTTAGTCTTTTATTTTAGTCCTGAACTCATTTATTAATAAATATTTGTGTAAATCTGAGCAGATAAAGCACTGTAAAGGACACAAAACCCATATATTATCCTCCTCTGAAATTATGTACTATTATTCTCATTTGAAAAATAAAGAAACTGAGGTTACTTTTTTTTTTTGATGGTGTCCTACTTTGATGCCCAGGCTGGTCTCACACTCCTGGGCTCAAGTCATCCTTCCACCTCAACCTTTTGAGTAGCTGGGATTATAGGCATTCACCACAGTGCCCAGCTGTTGAGGTTACATTTTAATGCGAGATCATGCAATAAGTAGATGTGGATTTAGGATTTGATTCTACATTTATGTCTAGCTTTGTGATTCTCCACCAGATCCAGCCTGTCTTGACTTTCCTGACTTGAAAAAGAATCTGACTCCAAAGACATTATTATATTTATTATAGTGTGAATGATGGTTAAACACAAGAGATGTTTAATTATGAATCATTTGGGAGTATTAACATGTTAATATGATTTCTATAAACATTTATTTGGTTAAGGTTATGTCATAAATGCTAAAAAATGCATTTGTCTCAGAGATTAAAATAATTAAATAATAATGACAGAATTATCATATCATAGGTACAAAGATTAAAGAGGAAAAGGAATTCCAAAATTTGATTATAAGACAGTATATAAAAGAGTGCATCTCATGAAAGAATTTCAAAATGTATTTATTTCTAGATAGATAAAAGCAGAAAGATTATCATATTAAAAAACATTAAAACTATTGAAGCACATTTAGCAATTATAAGACAACATTCTTGGAGACAGAAAAAAAATTCTTAAATAGTATAGTGATCACCATAGGAAGACAATTAAATTAAATATCAATTATCAGAAGGTAGGATTATTCTGCTAAGATATTAAAATGTAAATGAACTCAAACAGAAAATGGATGAAATATATGGCATTATTTATTCCACATTATTTGGATCAGTATATTGCTATTCTTAAAGAAAAATCAATTGTACTTTAACAGGTAAAGTGTTAAAGGACTATCTTGAAAGTTCTAAATTCCTAACCCAAACGTGATCCATTCCAGATAAGCATGTCCATGAAGACATGAGATTAGGGAATATGCTGAAGTAGAAGTACTCCTGCTTTTAGCTCATTTTATATTTCAAACATGACATCTTGAGTTCTCTTGAAACCTGTAACTGAACAATAAAAACAAATTGTTCCAAGAATTTTCAAATGAAATTTCAACTCAGCACAGTGGTTTCCTTCACAGGCAAACAGAAAAGTAAGGGATTTCTTCTTAGAAAGCAGTGTGGGCTAAAGAAAAATAGATAAAATTTAAGCAGCTTCACAGTGTTCTGGCTCCTCAATGTATCACAGTGGGTGAGAGTTCTCTCTTACAAGTTGCTTTCTATATACTTGACTGAAACATGTCAAAAGAAACAACAAAGGGTATCTCTTAATCCCTTGCACAATTTAGTGGATGAATCCGTCCATTCTAAATAAAGCTTGAAACTCAAACATGACTAGTTGGTTATCTCCCATGGGACGATCTATAAGGAAGCCTGAAAAAAGGCTCCAGGTTTTAAAGTGGTTATACATTCTACAGTTAAGTCTCTGAACTGTTCACAGCATGTAAACTGGAATACTAAGCTTCAATCAGATTTAAGCAACTTCAACAAGTAATTTGGTAACTTTATTTGGGAAGTAGGCTACGTGGGAAGGCTTTGCTTGTCTTAACTTATTCTAAAATTAAACTATCATGATTGTGTTTAGCTGAAGAAGAAAATGTAGTATTATCCCTCTGAAAAAGTCTCCGGTGTAATGCATGATAATTATTATAGGAAAAAGAAATAATATAGGATTTTAACTATTCCCCACTTATTAAATTATAATAGGAATAAAAATCAAACTTGTCCTGAGATAATCCAGGTGAAGTTCACATTGAACCCATGGGTTTTCTTGTAAAAGGCACTCAGAGAAAAAGTACTCCCTCTAAACTAACTCCAAAGGGCAGAGATGGATGGAGCTAGATTTGTATTACAGCTCTGTCACTTAATCGCTATGTGATCATGGCCAAGTTATATAACATCTTAAGAGTTTCTACTTTTTTTTCCTGTGCAACATATCAGTAATGGCATATAATTTGCAATGTTATAGATAGGACAGCAGATAATGTATATAGTCCACTTAACCAAACAGTAGATGGTTAATAAATGTCAAAGGTATGAGAAAGTTTTATTATGAAGCTATAGTTCATTCATTTCTTACATCCTTTGAGCAGCTACTATGTCTTGGTATTAACCAAGCTTACAGACAGGATATCTGATATGTATTGATAAGGATCCATCCAGATTCATTATCAGAGTGTAAATTTATATTCTCTACATTTACACTTTCTTCTTTGAAAATAAATATTGCTTTGGTTCTGTTCTTAATAAATTCAGTTGATATTGCATGAACCTAAAGTTTATTATGAATTTTACATTGAAGAGAGCAGATATCCAGACTAATTCTATGTAAAGAGTAACCATCTTCTTGTGAAATTTGCCTATGATTAATGACTAGTCAAAGACAAAAATAAACTATCAGTGGAGAGGAAGCACCATGTTTAGAGCAAGGTTGCCAGAGATACACATTTTAGGTTTGAATCCAGCCTTTGCTGTTAGCTATCTGTGTGATGATGGGCAAAGTATTTAACCACTTTGTGCCTCAGTTGCCTTATATTTAGTGCATTCAACCCATGGTTGTTGTAATGATAAAGTTAATCAGCGTTTGTATACCACCTAAATTAATGTCTGGTACAGAGTTAATGCTATCTCTCTCTTTGTTAAACACATCTGCATGAAAGAACACAGTGATTTTGTTAGTCTCTTGAAGTTCTAAAAACAACAAAACAGCCCATTTTAGTTGGGTACTTTTTTTTTCTATTCTTGAATGTGTTTGTTCTGAAATAGGAAAGGAGATTCTCTGGCAACAAAACTCCTTGCCTTTCTCTAAACCCTTACTCCATTCTTTCCAGGGTGACAGTCATTTGGTCAATTTGCAAGGAAAAAGTGTGCATGCTTACAGGAACCTTTCGCTTTCCTGTCTCCTGAACTGAATTTTCCACAGGTAGTGAATATTCTGTTCCGACTCTGCCTTCAATTTTACAGGAGCAGTTTCCACAGAGGCAAACTTGTAGAACATAACACAGCCCATTTATGGTAGAATAATTCAACCTGGGATTGAATTCTGGGGTTTAGTATTAGCATGGGGAATTGTCCACAAATGTATTGCACAAATTTCTGTATTAATATTCTGCCTTCCACCTGCCTGATATATCTGCCTATTTTCATATTTATGTTTTTCTATACACATACCTATCCAAAGAAAGAGCTAGATGAATAGATACATTTCACATGTACTATTGAGCAGGTGGATGCATGGCAATAGGATGACCTTTATCTTAATAAATACTTTGTTCACCAGGGAGAATTTCTGTCAAGATGCTCACAGAGCTTAACAAAGTCCTTAGTTTAGAGCTGAGACCAAATTGCTTGTTCCCATTAAGAAAGACCTTTATGGCCTTTCCACATTTCCTTCCACAAAACTAAAAGCAGACTAAGCATGGGTGACAGCACTTGGTAAAACTGATTGTAGTGACATTTTAGATCTGTCAAGTCTTTCTGTAACTACTGCACCGTAGGTAGCCTAATGAGACATAGTGCATAGTAACATAGTGAGAAAAACCCTTTAGAACTCTTGTTATAGTCATTTGAAGGGGGTTATAACTCTGAAGGCCATCATTTCCTGCTGGGCAGTAGAATCTTTTGGTAGCTACTGAATTGCTGAAAAATGTCTTGAAAGCAATTCCCTTTCAGTCATAACCATGCATAGATTTAAGTGTGCTGGGCTTCTGTTGGAGATGGATACAGGCTTGGCATCTACACAACTGGAAATCACATCTAGGGCAGTGCTATTTGAAAATTCAAAGATTTACTTATATAACTTACAACTCCTGTGTATGCAGACAGTAAAGCTGCATTGAATGGACTTAGGCTGTTTCTTAAATTATTTAGTCTTTTAATACTATAGCCTTATATTTTTCTGTCACAATAAGTTTGCAACTATTGAGAATGGTGTTGTTGCTTGGACATTTCCTTTGGAGAGATGATTGTAAAAAGATTTATATTCAGAATAATTGAATATACAATTTTAGATTTGGAGAAGTCTAGGGAAATAACAATTATGCATGACACTTCAATAAATATTTATTGAGAATCTACGTTATATAATACAGTATTCCTGGCACCATGGTAAGAACAATGATTTAGGTATGATTGAGGTACCAAAATAGCTCAAACTATGGAAACGAAAAGGCCTAATATAAGCAGTTATAACACAAGGCAGAATAAAGTAAGGATAAGAATTTAGATTGCATTTTTATTTGTATATCCCTTATCAGTTATTTGCCCTTCCATTTATTTACAGCTCCTTACTTTTCAAAAAAATTATTCCAGGAACCTTATTATATATGAGTATGTACATGTGTGTAGACTGAATGCTGCATTTGTCTATAGGATTCCTGTAAGAGTAAAATAAAAAGGCAGTGTGAGGGTATAAATAATTCATTTTATCAGACAGAAAGACATTTTTCTGATACTTATTTCTAGAAGGAAATATCCCTGTAATCATGTAAGATGCTATACCAGATATTGGTTACTGGAGTGAACCATTATTTTCCAAAACATGTTTGCAGCTATGTCAGAAGCAATTTTATTATAATGTTTATTTTTAGTATCTCCATAAAAGACCATTTATTTCATTAAACTTGTAAGAAGTCTTATGAACTAAATTAAGGTGGACTCTATATGAATTTTTCTAATGAATTGTGGGTGTTAGAAAATTAGCATGATGATAAAATTAGGTGATAAAAGAATGATATTTACACATCCTTCATAGCAGGAACTAAACAGGTCATATCTGCCATTGGAAAATTAACATATTGATGTAAACTTTCTTTCAATGTTAAAGTGTTTTTCCTTTGGGAATAATAAATAGTACAAGATAGGGGTAAAAAACTGACTGTATTTTTTATTATAAGCTTTATGGTACTATTTGACTTTTAAAAATAAGGTACATGTAATACTTTAATCAAATATATTTATTTATAAATACACTGAATATTTGATTTTTCCTTTCTATATTGCTTTTAAGATTGTGTTTCAGATGTATTCATACAGTTAATCTGGTAAAATAAGTCTCCGAATTAGGAGAAGTTGCTCTTGTGTCATTTAGGAAATTAAGAGGAAACATCTAAGAGAAAAGGGCCCATAACAGGTTACTCAAACTCATTAAGAGCTTTGCCTTCAGCTAGATTAATATAAATTGTTCTTGCATTTCAGGACTGGATCAGCCAAATTGATTATTAGGAAAGACTCTGTAAGAGTTCAGAACTAGAACCCTAATAATCATTTATTCTCCATAATATTTATTTCCCTGAAAGGTCATTTGGGAAAACCTGTCTTACAAATTTATAGTAGTAGCTGTGGCAAGTGTAAATGGTTAGCACCTTCTCTCTTTATATCAGAAAAACAGGAATTTTTAAATTTTATTTATTTGTCTATATGACTGCCTCCTCCTACATTAATATAAGCTCATGCTGAACAATAACTCTGACTTACTAATATCTTATCTAACACAGATTATGGCACAGGCACGTGAGATACCAGGATAAATACATGTCTAAATGACAGAAATAGCCTCACAAAGTTTAAATATTCGTGCTTTATTTTGAATGTCACTACATTTGTGAAACAATTTTTTAGATTGTTTCACAAAATGATGTGATGTCTCATCAAAATTAATTTCTTTCTTATTCATGTTGTTACAGTTTTCTTATTATTCCAAGAAAGTAGAGTTTAGTGGTCAGGTGTCTTATCTGTAATCAAATTACATAATTTCCAACTCCAAGTTCTATAGAATACTGCCTGTAAATCTGGCATTTTACCCAATTTTTGTTTATCTTATATGTTTTCAATTGTAATACAGAGAAAATGCTAGATCTTACCAATACTTCATACCTTATAGAACGTAATAAAAATTTATATATAAAAGTGATTAGAACAGTAAATGAAATATAACAAACAACTTACATATACCTTAAATAGAATGATTAGTATACCTATGTAGCATTACACATGTGTTTCAAATAACTGGGATGTGAGTTTCTTATAAACATTCACTCAATGTTATTTGAGTCTGTTTTCCTATCACATGGCAGCAGCAAATGCAAATGAAAATGAAAGATGTAGGGAAATGAGTCTTAAATTATGATACCTTTGAGTTTCCTCTTCCATCTATTCATTTTGATATTATACTTTTCTGAAACTTAAGTGCAAAAAATGTCTATAAAACATAGTATACGCTTTAATATAAGCTGCATATATCTTGTTTCATTTATATTATTTAATATGTTTTAGATATTTGTCCCAGCCAAATCTCATGTTGAAATAAGATCCCCAGTGTTGTGGGTGGGCCCTAATGGGAGGTGTTTGGGTGATTGAGGCAAATTTCTCATGGCTTGGTGCTGTCCTCTCGACAGTGAGTGAGTTCTCACAAGATCTGTTTGTTTAAAGGTATGTGGTACCTCCCTCCCCTCCCTCTTGCTCCTAGTCTTGCATGATATGTGCAAGCTCCCACTTCACCTTCCACCATGAGTAAAAGCTTCCTGAGGCCTCACCAGAAGTCAAGCAGATGCCAGCACCATGTTTCCTGTTCAGCCTGCAGAGCCATGAGCCAATTCAACCTCTTTTATTTATAAATTACCCAGTCTCAGATATTTCTTTATGGCAATGCAAGCATGGCCTAATACGTTATCACTATTACCAACTAAAACAAATTATTTTGATATTTCCTAAGCTCTGCCAGTGAAATTCTAGTTGCCTAGGGTTTCTTCTACTTCATATTTCTACAGCATTTAATACAATTACCTACTTGGTCTATGATGTTTTCTTTGTTCTGAGTATTTCCATTCCCTTACTGTAGATAGGATGTGGTATTGAAAAGGGAAGTGGTGATGACATTTATGCTTCAAATCAAATCCAGCCTCCCTTTTTTTTTTTAAACCTTTTAAACTTCTTTTCCCAAGAAGACTTAGATGGCCTTTATCCTATGTTCTCACAGCCTTCTTCAAAATTCACAAAACATGTCAGGTGCTAATTAAGTATTTTTTAAATTACAGAAGTGGTATAGTTTGAAATGCATGTGTCCCTCCAAAATTCATATGCTGGAACTTAAACCCCAAGGTGATGGTATTGGAAGGTGGGTCCTTTGAGAGGGGATTAAATCATGAAGGTTCTGCTCTGGTGAGTAAGACTAATGCCTTTATAAAAAAAGCTGGTGGTATGTGTTTCCATTTGTTTGTGTTGTCTATTTCTTTCAGCAGTGTTTTGTAGTTTTCCTTGTAGAGGTCTCTCACATCCTTGGTTAGGTATATCCCCAAGTATTTTATTTTATTTTGCATCTACTGTAAAGCAGGTTGATTTCTTGATTTGATTCTCAGCTTGGTTGCTGTTGGTGTATAGCAGAGCTATGGATTTGTGTACATTAATTTTGTATACTGAAACTTTGATGAATTTGTTTACCAGTTCTAGGAGCTTTTTGGAGGAGTCTTTAGGGTTTTCTAGGTATACAGTCATATCATCAGCAAACAGTGACAGTTTGAGTTTTTAACAATTTGGACGGCCTTTATTTCTTTCTCTTGTCTGAATTAATTTTGTATCCTGAAACTTTGATGAATTTGTTTACCAGTTCTAGGAGCTTTTTGGAGGAATCTTTAGGGTTTTCTAGATATACAGTCATATCATCAGCAAACAGTGACAGTGACTTCTTCTTTAACAATTTTGGATGTCCTTTATTTCTTTCTCTTGTCTGACTGCTCTGGCTAGGACTTCCAGTACTATATCGAATAGAAGAGGTTAAAGTGGGCATTCTTGTCTCATACCAGTTTTCAGGGGGAATACTTTCAGCTTTTCCCCATTCAGTATAATGTTGGCTATGGGGTTGTAACAGATAGTTTTTATTACCTTAAGGTGTGTTCCTTTTATGCCAATTTTGCAGAGGGTTTTAATAACAAAGGGATGCTGGATTTTGTCAAATGCTTTCTCTGCATCTATTGAGATGATCATGAGATTTTTGTTTTAAATTCTGTTTATGTGGTGTATCACATTTATTGACTTGGAGATGTTAAGTCATCTCTCCATCACTGGTGTGAAACCCACTTGATCATGGTGGATTATCTTCTTGACATGCTATTGGATTTGGTTTGCTAGTGTTTTGTTGAAGGTTTTTGTATCTATGTTCCTCATCCCATGCTCACGGATGAGTAGAATCAATATTGTGAAAATTACTATAATTCCAAAAACAATCTACAAATTAAATGCAATTCACATCAAAATACCACCATCATTCTTCACAGCATTAGATAAAACAATCCTGAAATTCATATGCAACAAAAAGAGCCCACATACCCAAAGCAAGACTAAGCAAAAAGTACAAATCTGGAGGCATCACATTATCCAACTGAATTCACACTATACTATAAGGCCATAGTCACCAAAGCTGCATGGTATTGGTATAAAAATAAGCACATAGACCAATGGAACAGAATAGAGAACCCTGAAATAAAGCCAAATACTTACAGCCAAATGATCTTCGACAAAGTAAACAGAAACTTAATGTGAGGAAAATAAACCCTATTCTATAAATGATAATCGGATAAGTGGCAAGCTACACATAGAAGAATAAAAATGAACCCTGTTCTCTCACCTTACAGAAAAATCAATTCAAGATGGATCAAAGACTAAAAGCTAAGACCTGAAACTATAAACATTCTAGAAGATAACACCTGAAAAAACCTT
This sequence comes from Homo sapiens, assembly GCF_000001405.40. Taxonomy (NCBI): domain Eukaryota; kingdom Metazoa; phylum Chordata; class Mammalia; order Primates; family Hominidae; genus Homo; species Homo sapiens. The sequence continues at coordinate 98,035,265 of NC_000011.10, forward strand.
TCCAGACATTGGCTTAGGCAAAGACTTCACAACCAAGGACGCAAAAGCAAATGCAACAAAAACAAAGATAAATAAATGGGACTTTAAACTAAAAAGCTTCTGCACAGCAAAATAAATAATCAGCAGAGTTAACAGACAACCTATAGCATAGAAGAAAATCTTCACAATCCATATATCCAAAAAACACTAATATTCAGAATCTACAAAGAACTCAAATCAGCAAGAAAAAAACAATCACATCAAAAAGGGGCTAAGGACATGAATAGACAATTCTCAAGAGAAGATATACAAATGGCCAAGAAACATAAGGAAAAATGCTCAGCATCACTAATTATCATGGAAAAATGCAAATCAAACCCACAATGCAATACCAACTTACTCCTGCAAGAATGGCCATAATCAAAAAATAAAAAAAAAATAGATGTTAGCATGGATGTGGTGAAAAGAGAACACTTTACATTGTTGGTGGGAATGTAAACTAGTGTAACCACTATGGAAATCAGTGTGGAAATTCCTTAAAGAACTAAAAGTAGATCTACCATTTGATCCAGCAATTCCTCTACTAGGCATCTTCCCAGAGGAAAATAAGTCATTACAAAACAGATACTTGCACATGCATGTTTATAGCAGCACAATTTGCAATTGCAAAAGTATGGAACCAGCCCATGTGCCCATCAATAAATGAGTAGGTAAAGAAAATGACACACACACACACACACACACACACACACACACCATGGAATGCTACTCAGCCAAAAAAAGGAGCAAAATAATGGCATTTGTGGCAACCTGGATGGAACTGGGAACTACTGTTCTAAGTGAAGTAACTCAAGAATGAAAAACCAAACATTGTATGTTCTCATAAGTGGGAGCTAAGAAATGAGGACGTAAAGGCATAAGAATCATACAATGGGGACTTGGATGAAAGGGTGGAGGGGTGAGGAATAAAAGACTACAGATTGGGTACAGTGTATACCACTTGGGTGATGGATGCATCAAAATATCAGAAATCACCACTAAAGAACTTATTCATGTAATCAAATACCACCTGCTCCCCAAAAACCTATTGAATAAAAAATAAATTAAAACAAACAAAAAATCAAATAAATATTAAAAAGCTGGCAGTAACTAGCTATTCCCTTTTTGCCCTTCCTCCATGTGAGAATGCAGCAAGAAGGTGCTGTCAATGAGGAACGGGCCCTCACCAGGCACTGAATCTTCCCACATGTTGAGCTTGAACTTCTCAGCCTGCTGTATTTTATTATAGCAGTGGGAATAGACTAAGACAAAAATAAATAATGATAGAAGAATATGAATTTGTATGATTTAGGAAGTGATTCCTTGAATTAAGATTTCCATGAATAATGCTGCTTGCACTCACAAAAATTTACTAATTGTAAACATAACAAGAGATGGGTATTCTCTTACAGATCACCTAAGCCAAAGGATCTACAGAGAAAGTCTGGAGGGGGAGAAGAGAAACGGCTTGTTTTGCTCAATGCCTAGGAGGATACTTTTGGTTCCTTAAAGATGGAAAGCAGATACTATAATTTATTCTTTACCTACAAGTAGATGGTACTTTTATTGTTGAGAATGTTTTCTGTTTTATAATAGATATGCCAAATACTTATTATACTTTGGGAAATAGTTTTGCTCTATTTTTTATCAGCATATATTGCACATGGATGACTTCCAAACCACACTTTGAAATAAAAAAAAGACATTTTCGGCAAGTCGCAGTGCTCACGTCTGTAATCCCAACACTTTGGGAGGCCGAGGTGGGCGGATCACTTGTCAGGAGTTGGAGACAAGCCTGGCCAACATGGTGAAACCACACCCTAACTCTATTAAAACAAAACAAAGAAAAACAAAACAAAACAAAATTTAAATAAGAAAATTAACAAAACTGTGATAAAGTTACTGCAGGGGGAAGAATATTATGGAGTTAAAGATAGTAGAATTCAAAATCTGCATTTAGGGATCTGGAAGTTAAAATTAAATTCTTTCTGATTATTTGTGTTGAAAATGAAGCCAACATATTAAGTTCAAATAGTTCATGATTAAAAAGATTTTTTTTTTCTACACAAGCAGAGGCAATACTTTAGAATCTGGGAAAATGTGTTCTGTGAAATAATATAAAAATTATGGATTATATCAAAAATATTACAACAGTTAATACTTTTCTTCTTCAGAACGGTGTTCTTAAATACAGAATGGAAATAATTTAAAAACAACAAATCCGAAGAGTACAACAACATAGGTCAGAAGAAAAATATTCCTAGTATTTAGCCTGCGTTAATAAAATTGGTTTCCTCTAGAGAGGCAAAATGTGCCAAGGATTTCTCTTATGTAGATAAAAAATTTAAAAATGCAATGGAGTAAACTTTATATATCTTTAAGAGCACACTCCCAGAACCAATAGCCTTCCTTGTTACTTTTTTATGTCATGCTGTCAATTCAAATGACAGTTAAAAAGTGAAATCTTCTTAACTGTATAAAATGAAATTAAGTAATTTCATTTTGATAGTTATGAGTTTGATATAGATTTCTGTAATGAGTCAAAAGATCTATTACCAACAAAATCAAAAACTTTTCCTTTGCCAAAATATATATTAAAAAACAGTTCATAAAATGTGCAAAACAGCCTGGTTTTGAGACATAAATTAACATGGCATTTGATCTTTTTTTTCATTATGTAATAGCTCGAATTCTCTAACTTGCATCATTTCTCATGTATTTTGATATGTAAATTAACAACTTCAAATCAAAATACACATAGAGGGATGTTGTATATTGCTCACTTAATATAATCAGAATAGAATTCCACCCAAAATCTGGTTTCAGCGTCAAGACTGATGACACCACTCACACACCAAGAGGACATGAAGAAATCTGTTACTTACATAGTTAAGCCTTTTCTGGGGAAAGCAGGAGAGTCCTCCATAGCAGGTCTAAAAGTCTCGAGAGAGGAGACTGGCTGAAGGTTTTTACTGCATTTTGGTGAGGTTCCCTGCATATAGGCAGAAGTTTGCATGGTTCGGAATCTCCCTGATGAAAAGGAACAGAACCACCAGGCTTTTCTATCAGGTTTTTAGATGTGGTGCACAAGGGGAAGGGGGAAGGATGAGGCTTACAATCTGTCAGTTGTCAGCTTCCCAAAATGGAATCCACTCCTTGTTACAAAGGACATAGAATATCCTCCACCAAGTTTAGTAGCTCCCTAGAAATGTTTTTGAAACATCGGAACTTCTTCATAAAACTTTTGGAAGAGTTATAATTATAAGTGACCAATACCTGCATGAATTTCTTTCTCTTTTTCTCCCTCTCTTCTCTCCTCCCTCCTCCTTTCTCCTTCCTTTCATTCTATTCTTTCATTTATCTTTAATAGATAGTCTACTATTTATTCTATATTTTTACAAAGTATAATGTCTAATAGTGGGAAAACAGTCTTTAAGTAAATATTTACACAGATAACTATTTATGATTGCTGTAAATGTTATAAATAACTTAATTGTTATGCGTGCTTACAGTATGAATCTGGGACGGTGTCCTTAAGTGACCTGCCAATCCAAACCTATAAATTAGTTATTTTAGTGTAGTAAGTAGCAAAATAACTATGACTGATTGAAGCAGAGTCCCAAAATTTCAATGACAATTTAGTAATTAGTTTTACCAACTTCACTAATTTGTTATAGATATTGCTATAACCTTAGTTTAAAGTTCATCTGATTACCTTTCCTTAATTAAGAAAATTATAAGAAATCCATTATTATTGTTAAAAAAAATTAAAAAGACCAAAAAATGGAAACAATGAAACAATGATAGAGGAAAACTTTTTTTTTTTCACATCATTATAGTTCCTATTTCTAGCATGATACATGTAGATTACAGCTGGTCAATATATGCTGGTATATGTATATATAAATTTTGCCATTAAAAGTAATGGCAAAAACCGCAATTACTTTTGCACCACTGTAGTAAAAATAAGGGAATCAATGAATAAATGTCAGGGAAAGAGAAGAAAAATTAAATGTTGACATAGCTTTACTTATATAGCTGTAAATATAAGACCTGAATAAATGTAAACACAGGAATTTCTGACTGCATATTAAGAGAATTGCCTGAGAAATGCATCATACTTTTCAAAACATCAGCTGCTGAATTATGTTGATTCTGTTAAGAAAGTTGTGAAAGTTGTTATCTTTATTTTCTCTTTCTGTTTTAAAACTATTTTCTTGCCTTTGCATAAACAATTGTGTTACAATATGTCAAATGCAGTTTTATGGTTATTTTGTTTCAATTACTCAGAGATTTTGATGTCATTTTCATTTTTTTTCCATCACTTTTGAAAAATTTAGGGCTATTACCTCTTCCAATATTATGTCTGAATATTTTTTTTTTCTTCTAGGACTATGATTACCAATAAGTTAAAATATTTTCATTCAATTTTTTTCTTTTTCTTTCTGTGATACATTTAGATATTCTCTACTGACTGACATTCGAGTTCACAAATACAGCCTTTGGCTGTATCTAATCTGCTATCAAAAACATTTATTAATTTCTTAACCAGTTATTTTTTAGTTCTAAAATATCCACTCATAAACATTAATAATATTTACTTAAAGTATTATACCATTAACTCTAATATCTGGAAAATCTGTGAGTGTTCTAGTTTTTTGTTTTTCCTCTTGATTCTCTATCCTATGCTCCTGTTTCTCGGAATGCATAAACATTTCTTTAAACACCAGAAACTGCACATTAAGAATTATAAAATACTATAACATTTTCTTCCTCCAGAAAGGGTTAGTTTTTTTTGTTTAGGTAAATGGTGCTGGGACCGCTCGCCATGATCTAGTCATGGTCCAATGTGAGTTGAGGAAGGAGTCTAATTTTGCTAAATCTCTCTCTTCTTATTTGCCTTCCCTCTAGGGCCTAGAAGTTTCAACTAATGGCCAGATGTGTTCATTGGGATTCCTCTCCCTGGCAGCTTCTGAATTAGCAGCTTTGTTTCCTTAGTCTGGAGAGACATCTAACAACTATACCATTACTCAGAGCCTTTGTGCTTAGAATTCATCCTCCTACCCAAAATACAAATGGATTTTGCAAAAATCCTGAGGCAATAAAAATAAAGCTAAGTGTCAGCCTCAGTTTATCTCTTCTCTTTAGGATCTTGCTCCTTGAAGATCTAATAGGAGTCTAATAGGAGAGTCTAATAGGAGTCTAATAGGAGAGTCTAATAGGAGAGAACTTACCTATGCAGAAAAAAGTTGTAAGAAAATAGTAGGAAGAAAGAGAAACTTCCCCCACAACCACCCACATACACACACACACACACACACACACACAGAGCGTGAATGAGAAAATTAGACAGATAGATAGATAGATAGATAGATAGATAGATAGATAGATATAGTGATACTTAAATAGGTAATGTTTTTGAAGCCATGTCTTCATTTATTCCTTTGTGATATAGTTCTCATCCACTGAGCTTTGTTGACATGTTTATATTTAACGTAAGTCTGAAATAAGTTTTGATGTCACATTTATTCCACTAATTTGTTGTATTTTATTTCTTTTCTACCTGATTAAAACAATAAACTTGGTTCAATAGGTCTGAATGAAAAAGTGTGAACTATTATTCTCTTACTCTTCTTTCAAATGTGAAAAAGAGTCTTTTTTTTCCTTTTCTGATTTCAAATAGGTGATTTCACATCACAATATGTATTAGGGTTTTCTAGAGGGGCAAATCTAATAGGATGTATGTATATATGAAAGGGAGTTTATTAAGAGGTATTGACTCATAGGATCACAAGGTGAAGTGCCACAATAGACCATCTGCAAGCTGAGGAGCAAGGAAGCCAGTCTGAGTCCCAAAACCTCAAAAGTAGGGAAGCCAGCAGTGCAGCCTTCAGTTTGTGGCTGAAGACTCAAGAGCCCCTGACACACTTTGGGAGGCCGAGGAAGGCGGATCACGAGCTCAAGAGACGGACACCATCCTGGCCAACATGGTGAAACCCTGTCTCTACTAAAAATACAAAAATTACCTGGGCATGGCGCCTGTAGTCCCAGCTACTCGGGAGGCTCAGGCAGGAGAATCGCTTGAACCCGGGAGGCGGAGCTCGCAGTGAGCTGAGATCGCGCCACTGCACTCCACCCTGGTGATGAAGTGAGCCTCCGTCTCAAACAAAAAAAAAAAGAAAAAGAAAATTAAAAAAAGAAAGAAAAAAAAGAGGCCTCTGGCAAACCACTAGTGTTAAGTCCAAGAGTCCAAAAGTCGAAGAACTTGGAGTCTGATGTTTGACAGTAGAAAGCAACCAGCATGGGAGAAGATGAAGGTCTGAAGACTCAGCAAGTCAGCTTCCTCCACCTTCTTCTGCCTGCTCTTTCTTGCTGCGCTGGCAGCCGATTGGATGGTGCCCACCCACATTGTGGGTGGGTCTTCCTGAGGGTGGGTCTTCCTCTCTCAGTCCACTGACTCAAATGTTAATCTCTTCCCACAACACCCGGAAACACCCAGATACACCCAGACACAATACTTTGCATCCTTTAATCCAATCAAATTGACAATATTAACCATCACAGGATATTTTGATTTATTATAAATTATTTGTATACTTACACTGCTTTTTATTTGGAACTTAATAGCAAACCTCCTATTGTAAGGATACTTTGATATTTTCATTCCTTATGAACATATTTAACTGTGTAATAAAAAGGTAGCACTATTTTATATGTAGTTTGAGAATGTTGATTATATCTAGATTCAAAAATTGAAACCAAATTTTAGGTTTGTATTTTTACTGAATTTTAGGTTGGTACTTTTAGCCTATCTCCTGTCTAAGAAGCAGTATGTCAAGAATTGTTTGGGAGCATAAGTTCAATGTTTAAAAAAACAACTGTCAGAGATGCCTAGAATTATTAACTCTACTAAAAGAAAAGAAAACATGGAAAACAAAGCCAAATACAGAACAACACTGGTGAAAGTGTTTAGCCAAAAAGAAACAATTATGCAACTGTCTACAATTCTACAATAAAATGGAAAATTATTGAGAATGAATATTATCAATAATAATGTGTTAACGTGGTAAAATATTTATACTTATGAATTTAACTGAAAAATTGGGGAATATTATGTTTATTTCTGGAAAAATAACATGAAACGGCTTTTACCACAAACTTAGGATGTGCAAATACGTAAAGTTAAATCACAGAGATTACATGGAGTGAAGGATGCATGGTTTTATGAATCTTAAAAATGAAGTAGGTTAACATGGATTTAAAAGTGTGCAGTAAAATAAAACATTATAAATTAATAGTAAAATAGAGGAAAATGTTTTTGCTTATATGTTAAAAAGTACAATGAACAAAAAGAAAAATGTATTGATCAATCTTTTTGTTTCAAAAAATAGGAACAGGTCTTTTATTAAGTTTTCCCTAAAATCGTAATGAAAGATATGACTAACAAATAGGTACATTAAGGTGAATTTTATTTTCTCTTTCTCCTCAGTGTCTTCCACTGCAAAATTCATTGTTCTGAAGATACCTGGATTATTTTCTATATTTGAAGTCATGCATGGCTGGGTGTGGTGGCTCTTTGGGAGGCCAAGGCAGGAGGATTGCTTGAGGCAAGGAGCCTGGGCAACACAGTGAGACCCTGCTTCCCCAAAAAATTAAAACTAAATAAAAAATCAATGAGGTGTGATTTTGCACACTTGTAGTCCCAGCTACTTGGAAGGCTGAGGCAAGAGAGTAGTTTGAGCTTGAGAAGTCAAGGCTGCAGTGTACTGTGATCATGCCACTGTACTCTGCCTGGGCACCAGAGTAAGATACTGTCTCAAATAAAGTCATGTATAGGTTGTGATATTAAAAAAAAAAAGAGCATATTCATAATTCTCCCTAGGCCCTCTTATCTCAGATATTTTTGCAATGTACCTACTGATATCAATAAATTGAATATATACATGAAAATGCTAAGCTACAGAATATATGACTCTCAGAAAAACCAACTCTTTAGATTCCATTACTAGGAGAGAATGTGTTTTTTTAGTATGTGTGGCTCCCTCTTCCCATATACTTCATTGTGGGCAAAACCTCTTCAGGCCTCTTCTTTACCGAGCATCAATTTCACTTTCATTCTAGTTGTATTACTTTGCACTGATAAATGGCATATTTCTGCTTTTTTCCCCTTTTCATGGTCGTCTTGCATTTGCCCAGCTAAAATTTATTGTTGAGTATCTAGCATCTATAGAAGTATCCTTAATAGGCACTGAAATATCTTGATTCTTACATGTATTTCTGATTAAGAAAGCTTTTCCCGAAACTTGCCACTGGAAGCATGAAAATACTTAAGTGGCAGGTCTCTGAGTCTTTAGTTTATCTCCCACCTTCTATCATATATGTATCTTACCCAGATTTCTAGTATATTAGCCATGTGTTGCTCATCCTGCTTGATTCACCTGATAATACTGATATAATGGATTGATGTGATGTTCTGAGGGAAGTCCAGGCTATCCAGGTCTCTTGGGAGTATATTTTAACAGAGCAGGAGTTAAGATAGCCCTGGGATGAAGCTGTGTACAACAATATTGTCTTTTAAAAAAAATTGTGATAAGAACACATAACATGAGATCTACTACCATACAAATTTTTTGGTGTATAATCCACGATTGTTGACTGTAGTCACAATGTTGTACAGCAAATTTCTAGAGCTTATTCATCTTGCATAACTGGAACTTTATGCCCATTGTTATTTGTAACTCTACATTTTCTGCTGCCCACAGTCCCTGGTAACCACGATTCCACTATTTGATTCTGTGAATTTCACTATTTTAAATGCATCATATAAGTACAATAATGCAGTATTTGTCTTTCTGTAACTGTCTTATTTCCCTTAGCATAATGTCCTCAATGTTCATCCATGTTGTTACACACTGCAGAGTTTCCTTTTATAAAGCTGAGTAATATCCCACTGTGTGTGTATACCACATTTTCTTTATTCCTTCATCTATCTATTGACATTTAGGTTGTTTTTACATCTTGACTACTGTGAGTAGTACTGCAATGAACATAGGAATGCTAATATCCCTTTGAGAGCCTGACTTAATTGTTGTTGTTGTTGTTGTTGTTTTGTTTAAATACCCAGAAGTGAGGTTGCATCTATTTTGTCTTAATGAAAAACTATTTCCGATCCTGTTTCTGAATTGAGACAAAAACAAATGCATTTGACAAACAACTACATATCCTGCACCTAAGACCATATGTAGCTGCTCTAACAATAACACAACCTCAGCTACAATTGGGGTTCCAATTTTGTTGGGCTTGTAATTGGTTGGCTACTGTCCTCATGGATCCATCTGGTTTCTGCAAGGGCCAGACTGGAAAATTAACAAGGGATATGAGAGTAATTACTATTCCTGTATTCTTTAGCTGTTTAAGTATAGCATTAGTCTTTGCTACCAATACAATATTGTATTTAATTTCCTATGTTGGCCAGGGGGAGACAGTTTTCTTCCTCTTGGCTTTCCCACTAAGATAGCTCTAACTCCAATACGGGGTTATTTCATCTGCCAAGACTATCAGTCTCCATCATGCATTCAGAAACTGGGAAATGATCACCAGGTGGGACCAAGAATCCAATGGACCCACTGTATGCTGGACTTGAGGCAAAGGTTCCATTTATTACCCAAACCCAATCTCTCACATAGTTGGACCATCACAAGATTTCAGGGGTTTCACATCAACAGTAACTCAGACCCTTTCTCTAATAGTTTTCAAGAAGTCTCATCATCACTATTTCACAATGTAGACTCACCCAAGTTACAAACTGTAGGCAGGACCAATTTCACGGACAGGTGACCTATGCAGTCACACAGAACCCAGGCTCAGGAGGGTCCTTCACTCAGTTTAAAGCTCTGTTGACACTGTCTTGAAATTCTTGATAAGTTTTAAACCAGAGGTCTCCCATGTTTTGTCTATAGGCCTTTTTGGGGTAAGGATGGAGGAATCATTACTATGTATACACTCCATGTTGTTCAAGGGCCTTCACTCTTTGGGATCCAGATACTTTTTCTATCAATCCACAGATTCAGTGTCTGAAAACTGACTCGGGTCTGATAATTTGGACAAAGGATTCTGAATTTTTATTGCGGCTATAACTATTGAATCCAAGTCACTGAAGATTAAATTCACTTCATTTTCATAATTGCAATCTTCTGGCTTCTGGCAATAAGCAATGCCAATAACAGTCCCATCATTTCAATGACATCAATCAACCACCTCCTATGTTCACTTCCCCTTATATCAACCCTAGCCCTCAGGAGAGAGCTACCACTGAACTTCATAGTTTATGCATTTATGACTCTCATCAGCAAATTCTTGATGACTTGTTGACTGTTTTGTCCTCTGGGCATTTATATGTAAAATAATACTCTGGTGAGTCTTCTGGCCTTACAGAATGTGTAGTCTTGGTACTCCAAATAGCAACACCAAGATAAAACTAAACATGCAGGGATTTTATTACAAGAAACACTTGTGTGAAAGAAAACAGGAGTGGAATTTTGGAAGGCAGAGAACAAACATGAAAGTATACAAATATAATCCTGAGTGAAGAAGGGGAGAAGAACATTAGGTAGAAATGTCTTTCACTGCCATATAGTCTAAGAAAAGGTTGGCAGGAGTGCAGGGGCATCCTCAAGCCGATGTCAGCCAACTGAGGGTTCACATCTCTTTCAGGAATGGGCTGCATTAGTTTCTTTACAATAATCAGTCATTGGCTGGCAGCAATCTGAGGAAAGTGTGCCTTGGTGGAAACATGAAGATAAATTTCAGAGTGTACCAAATGGGATGCTTTGTCAGTTATCACCCTCAAAGTTTAAGGTCCATGAGGCACATTCTCATGACCATCTCAGTCCATTTTCTGTACCATACAGATCTACACCTCTGCACAGATTCAAGGATAAGCTGTTTCTTGTTTTCTATGGACCCTTCTGCCTAAAGGGAAACTCTGAAATGGGAACACAATTATATAAACTACAGTCCCCATCACTGAAGTCGATCTCAGGCCCATCACCGGTATTCATACTCCTTTTCCTCCAGAATCTATTCTGAATCTCCTCATCTTCAGCTAACACAAAAGCTTGTGGCATAACTAGATGTATAACAGAAATCTTTATTTTAGAGGCATCTGAACCCTATGTAATCATACCTTCTCAGTCTCAAGTTACAGCATGTGTTTACTGGCATTTAAGATGGAGCACGGGATTGTCAGCAGGTACCCAAGTAGCTGATCTGGGATCTAAACATAGTCCTCTCAGCTCACAAAATGAAAGACAACATTGATGGTCATGATCAGTTAACTTTGCCAGTATCTGCCAGTTCCTGGACAAAATGAATCCATAAAGTCCTGGCAGCAACTACAACAAACATGTTATTCAATGGGGATTTTTCTGTGTTGCCTGGTAAGTGTGTCCCTCTTTTTAGGTCCAGAACCTACAACCCTACAGGGTCCAGATTTGTTGTGGCAAGAAACAATAAAATTCTCAAGTAGATAATTCAGAGCCCTTGTAAGTAAGGCATAAACAAATTATTTGCTTCCTGGACTCATATATACTTCCTCTTGGGAATATGGCACCATATGAATATCTGGTTTCATAAATACATTGTGAGCTGAAATATGGTACTTCAAAAATTCTGAGTGCTTTCTTTGAGCTGGCATTTCAGCTGCACATTTAGAAGGTCGTTTTGCATTCTATAAGGCCAACTGCCCTAGAGTGCTGCAGCATGTGAAAGGACCATTGATTCCACTCCCATACCTCTTTTGCTGTAAAGTGGGTCTTCTTGTTGAATGCCAAATCCTACAAGCACTCATAATAGTTCTGGTTGAAATCCCACTAAACAAAAAAGGCAAACCTAGTCATGAATAGCTATCTATGCCTGTTAGAATTAATGAATGACTCTATTGTGGCTATTCCTTTCATGGGTACATTGTGCCAGTTCTGGGATGACTGGTAACAAAGCCTGGCTACTTCAATTTTATATGTTTGATTATTTGTTGCTTCTTCTCTGGTGGATGTTTTCTTGAGGACATGAAACTAAATTCTAAAATCTTTATGCTTTTTTTCTACTCCAATATGTTCATTTGCATGTCTCCACACAGACCTCCTTGACTCTCATCTTATAACCTTTTTCTTTCTAGATCCCTGGCCAGACAGCCACACATGTTACCACTGCCCAGGGCCAAACTTTGCCATTACAGACTTGTCTTAGATGACCATTGCCTTGTCTTTGAAATTTAGCCAGTCTGCTTACTAAATCTTGAGTTTGGTGTTCAGCTGCTTCTCTTCTTGTACAGTATCAAAGAGAGCCTTTGACCTTCACATTTATACTTATTTGATAAGCCTTTAGCTTATTATTGCCTCTCCGTATGACATCAACACAAGTTAACAATAACCAGCTTATTCCAATCAATTTTCCTTATATGTGCCTTTCCCATCTCCTCCCCTTCCCATTTCTGTATCTCTATATTTTCCCAATGCCCCGTATCACTGTGCAGACTAGGGTGTTTCTATCAATTGGAACATTCTGTCAAGTCAGCACTGAGGAAAGTTTTAGCAACTGGGCTGCCACCATGTTCCAGGGACTACCATGGCCCAATCAGCATGGGCACCTCATTGCCAGCCTCACGAGTCATCAAGTCCTAAAACTCCATCCTGCCCCCTGCTTTCTCAGATGACTCTTGAAACTTCTGTGTTAGTTTTGTCCTCTGGAAAGGAGATGCTGAATGAGTTAGGAGTAGGAAATATTATTGGAGTGTAATACCTAACAAAGGAGAAGGGAGAAAACAAATTTGATCAGGTGAAGTGGTAGGACCATTAAATAGATCTAACAAGGTCTTTACTAGATCAGAGTAGGGTTTTACAGTAAAGATTGCCCAAAAAAGGAGTGCCACACTAGGTTTTAATGGCCCGGTGCTTGCACCTCAGTCCTGTTTAGTCACCGGCGAGGGCCATCCCTAGAAGAGTATAACCTCAGCTCACAACCAGAGGTAAACTACAAGGAAGTAAGAGTAAGAAGCTGTTATCTAGCCACATATCTTCCATTTGTTTAGAAAGTCACTTTTTAAAGAAGGATTTGAGCAATAATTTTCTGTGTTGGCTGCAAGTAAATTGTGAAAGTTCATATGGCTGGGGAGGGGAATAGTTCCACAAGCTTAACAAAATGTGTAATAATTATAATATCCATATGCGTAAGTTACTAGTACCACAAAATTGCCTTATCATTCACAAATCACAAAGTAAGTCTGGCTTGACACTTCTGTTCAGAATCCAGTATTTATTTAATCTATGACTGCTTTTAACCAATTAGATGCTGTCAAACTGACAGAATTATAATGGCTGCCTGTTTTTATTTTCCCTTAGAATACATTTAACATGTTTTATTTTAAATATATGATAACATACTGTGGCTTTGGAAAATAATAATGCAGACTCAAAATGATTCTATTTTCTGCTATTATTGGCATACATTATTATTATTAATCATCTGGGTATTTTTCAACAGAAAACTCTGTGACAACTCAGTGTTTAGAAAAACAAGTGGGTAATTTTCATTTTCAAATGTATTATAAATATTAAATATCCATTTGCCTTTACAGCTACCATTTTTGGGAAAGTTTGCTATTTCATGTAGTTTCACCAATATATAAACGTACAAATGTATACATTTGTACAAATTCATAAATATGTATATTCTAAGACATTTGATTTAATGGATATTGAAATTATTCACTAATTTTTTGTTAATATTTGTTTTATTTCTCCTTAGTGAAAAGTTTTTTGATAAATTACATGATTTTCAATGCTTCAGTTTTCTCACCTATGAAATGCAGGCAATAAACCTCCCTGTCAGTACCTCTGGGTTCTAAACTGAGATCAATCACCATGTCTTCTATGTAACATTTTTTAAAATGTTTGTTTCTTTCTCAGTTTTTTCTCTTTATGTAAGCATGAATCCTGAGATCTGTCAGTATAGATCTGAGGGAATAAAAATGTCATTTTAGGAAACTCTGTGGCATTGCTCTTTGTGTTTTTTCTGTCCTCTACCTCTCCACATCATATGTCACCTGAAGTGAAAAGTTAGAAAAAATGAAGTTTAAAAGTATCACAACAATTCTTGATTTTGCATTATCTTTCTATGTATATTACTTTTATACTGTCTCTAAGTAATTAAATGAAGAATGACTCATGCTGTTTTTTTACCAGATGACTATATCAGAGATAGCTTCAAATGAGATTTTGTCTATCAAACCATTTTATAAGAAATGACATTATTTTAGGATGCTTTTGTTGTAAATACAAGATGTTTCAACTTACTACAAACACATTATTAATATTCTGAAGCATTCTTCAAGAAAAGAACATTTTAATGGCCTTTTTAAGGTAACATATAGGGTACAGCAGTTAAAGTAGAAAAGAAGGAAAGAAACCCCTAGCAGTCTTTAAGATATGTCCTACAGTCACATAGATTTTGCAATATAAACTTATATTGAATCTATTTTCTTTATGAACTGTTTAAAATAGACTTAGCCTACTACTATAAATTCTAGTTATTAGCAAATATGACATAACGTAACAGATGTTAAGTTTAATCCTTAATCTTAATAAACTTTACTATTTTATAACAAGAAGTGTATAATTTCCAAATGTAGCAGTGTGTCTTTATTCCAAAACATCATTTTTTTTCCATATACTTTATTCATGTTCCACATTCACCTATGATGGCATAAAACTACCAGCTTGTTTAACTCATATAAGAAGTCTAGACTTAGTACACAGGGTTACAGCTGATAGAGTATGTCACTGAGGACTCAGATTTTTTTCTGTCTGTCTGCTCCATCTTTCCTAAAAGTTAGCTTATGTCCTTGGAAATGGAAATGGAAGTGGTGGAGGGGTAGTTTATTTTATGAAAGAAAAAACATTCTAAAATCCCAGCCTACTTCTGCTTATATCCCATTGGCCAGAAATGTGTTATATCGTTACTCCTACCTACAAAGGAGTATGGAAAGGTAAGTATGTTTAGCTGGGTATGTTTTCATACCCCCCTAAAAATCAAGATTCTCAGCAAGGAATAAAATGACACAAATGTATGCAGTCATCCTAAATAGCTTTATCTCTAGTAAATAAATTAAATTTTAGTTAAAACACTTTAACAAAGAAAACTCCATGTCCAGATGGTTTTTTAAAGAAAAGATACCACGCTGCAAAGTCTCTTGAAAATGGGAAAATATACAACTAATTGTATGAGGGCAGATTTACCCATAATATCATCACTGCAGACACTAAGAATAAATAATAGCACAGAGCTACTTGGAAGGCTGAGGCGAAAGAATTGCTTGAGGCCAGGAGTTCTAGACCAACCTGGGCAACACAGCAAGACCTCCCTCTCTACAAAAGATTATAATAATAAAAAAATTAGCCAGGTGTGGTAGTACACACCTGTAGTCCTAGCTACTCAGGAGGCTCAGGCAGGAGGACTGCTTGAGCCCAGGAGTTAGAGGCCATAGTGAGATATGATTGTGTCATTGCACTCTAGCCTGGGGGACAGGGACAGACCCTGTCAAAAATGAACAGTACAGACCAAAAAAGATACCTCATAAACAGACATGAAAAAAATCTCACAAAATTTTAATAAATTGAATCCAACAATATATATAAATGTTCATAAATCATGATCAATTTGGGCTTATGCCAAGAATTCAAAGTGAAATTTTGAATACTTTTCCTCTAACATAGGAACAAGGCAAGAATCGCTCTTCTCGGTATTTCTGTTTAACATTGTACAGGAGGTTCTAGCCAGTGCAAAACAAAATTTAAATAATTAAATAATCTTTTTGTCTTTATATCTTCTTTTATTCCTTTGTGACAACTTAAATAAAGGTCTGCTTCCCATCTGACCTTAACTTCATTATATTACCAAATTTTGGTCAAGTCCTCATTCTCTAGCATATTCAAACTACTCTCGTTTAGATGAAAATGCATGATGAAATTTTATCTTAATTTTCAGGTGCATTTTTTTCATGGTAGTGAATAATATTTTCTTTTGTAATTGGAAACAAGCCAAATAACTAAGTAAAAAGGGCAAAGTGCTTTACTACTCAAATATCTTACTGCACTTTGAACATTCAGTTTAAATGTCTGCTTTCCTAATATGCAATCTTTACTTTCTGAGACTGTAATTAATAGTTTTATTCAAATCGCTTTTAACTTCAATTTATGTGACTTCTACTTCTATTTGAATTTTGTCTGTTTTCACAAGACAATTTTCTCAAACTCATTTTTTCACTTACTATCACATAGTACCTCTAGAACTGTTACCACTTTCCTTTCTCAGAAATAAATTTAGCATTATGTGTCAAGTTTTTATGTCTATTGACAAGATAACCATATTATTTGTCTCTTCTGATATGTTCTGTATTCTGTATTCAGTGCCTATTTAGGAAGACCAGAATTGTATGTATTAAGTATATCCTCTCTTGAATGTCAACAGAAAAACTAGAATTACTGTATTTTCAATGCTCATACAAAAAAAGTATTGCTTTATTTTTCATTTAGTCAGAGTATGAATTCATGTATTTGTATTTTAGGTGCTAAATAAATATTCTCATATAACTAAACAAATGAAAATAAAATTAGTGAATATTCTACATAAAACACAAAATGTGGAGAAAAAACACACTGTTCCTATCCACAAAAGTTTGTCATCAATAATATTGATAACTTCTGTTCTAATGGACCTTAAAAAATTCTTCTGGGACACATCAGTGAGTTTTCATGTCACTATCCACTTAAAACATTGGTTTTGATCAGGAGATGGCAAATTGCCGTCTGCGGGCCAAATCCAGCCCACTATTTGATTTTGTAGATAAAATTTAACTGTAACAGAGCCAAACTCATTTTTTAAAAATGTATTGCATATGGTCCCTGTCATGCCACAATGGCAGGCCATATGACAGCAGCCATAGGGCCTAAAACATAAACTATCTGGCTTTCTTGAGAAAAAGCTTTCTGACTTCAGTTTTTGTATCAGTTATTATTTATATATTTACTTGAGAAAATTGTTATAACTTGATGATTTAAGATAATGTTTTTATGTAACAGAACTGATATGTTCAGTTTGCTGTCAACTTATTATTCAGTGTAGATGTAAGTAAGACAATATAAGGAATCCTTTTCTGTAATAAAGTGTATAATAGAGCTTGATTTGGGAGACTCCTAGAAAGACACGCTGCAAACAAACACACTGACTAATCTGAGAATATCAATTACCATTTGAAAACCACCTAAGCCTAATTAAAACATAAATAAGGAACAAGTGAAGAAAGAGTAATTACATATTCTGAATATTAACTATATGACAGGCACTGAGCTAGCTCTATCTACCTATCTATTTAAGTATACTTTGTTTTTAAAAACCTTACATTAATTTAGCTGTGAAGAAGAATTATCACAATTTTTTAAAAGAAGAAAGAATCTCAAGCAACCCATCATAAAGGGCTCTTAGGAAAGAGTAAAGCACAAATCTCTTGCCAACCAATAAACTTCAGTAACACTTTTCTTGTGCTCTTCTACAATTAGGATTATTATTATTGGGCCCAAGAGAAGAAATGGCCCCCATTCATACATAAATAACTGGAACACAAATAACTATGGATTCTTGTATTTAAGCTAAGAGGATAAATGACTATGACAAGTAAGAGGAAGACTAAAAAAAAGGCAAGAAATAGATGAAAATGATGGACACAACACATGAACATTTAAAAATCTAAATTACCTAGATACACAGCGCTGAAAGTAACTGTTATGTGTTATTTATATAAATAACATCCGGTAAGCTGTAGTTAATTCACCTTAGTTAAATGGTCTGATAAAACCAGACCAAAATGGTTAAAGTGTTTGTGTTAGTATGGGAATCAGATGAAATACATAGTTCCAAAGACAATGACTGGCACATATAAGTTGCTCAATATATTTTTGTATAATAGTATTCTCTGTGTATGTGTACATGCATGTGCATGTGTATGTGCATTTGAATGTCTGTGTGTGAGTGTGTGAGGGCTGCAGTGTGTTTAAGACACATACCTACATATTGAGAGGAAGACACTGTAATATTCTTTACTAGGTATAGTTCATGTTGAAGACAGTCCAGAAATTCCATTTCAATAACACAGTTCATCAGAAGTTGTAGTCATTGTGCTCATTTTATTTCCTTATTTTCATATGAAAATTAATATTTTCTTTCTTCATATGGTAATTATTTTAGAATTAAAAAATTAAGGAACCATCTGTTCAACTAATAAAAGGTAAGCACATTTTTTTTAGGGGAGTTCCTATATCTTTTACATTTCAGGATCTTGTCTGCTTCTATCACATCTCTCCACAGCTCTTAAAAATTATTTTTACCTTGTATCTGATCAAAATTTTTCTGTTCAGAAATTTGAGTTCAAGCCTTTGCAGTTCTCTCAGCTTGCTGGTGATTATTGCTCAATAGCATTCACTTTTCTCCATCTCTTGTTGAATATAGCTTCTATTTTCTCTTCAAAAAAAGGTTATAAATTTCTGCAATCTGTTTTGCCCTACGTGAATCACATCAAACATGCCCTTGAGAGATTATGGTTCATCCTTTCTGACATCTGGGGAAGCAGCCCAAAGCTCAGAAGAAAAATTCAACACTGAGCTCTTTGAGTAAGGGGCTTGAAAATTCTATTTGATGATTTTTATATTTCCCGTGCAAAGCACTAAAAGAATAACAATACTTATCCCATATCAATTTTATAGAACCATTGCAGGTATTCACTAGATCATCTATGTTATGTGCTTGGGGCCTTCAAAGTAAACTGCTCCAGGATCTTATCCCCAGCTTTTCATCCTTTGGCCCTCTGATGACCTTTCACTGCAGCTAGGATAGTTAATTATTTGAAATTTTTTTCAAAACATAGCAGTGATAAAGAGATGGTATCATACAGCTTTTTCTTAGAAGCTCAGTATAAAACAGCAGGCATTTGGACAATACTTGTTTTCTTCCCTGTGAGATCTCTCTCCAATGAATACCTAAAAAGTTCCCTGCAACTGTATGCTTACCTGCAGGTATCCCTTCAGCAACAGATTTTGTACTAACGTAGATCCTTGAGGAACCTATGACTCTCCTTTCAAGACTCCAAAATTCCATGCACATTCAGTGCATATAACCACATGTTGCATAGTGACAGAGCTACACTAAGACTATATAAATTAAAATCTGCCACAAATTTCTGCAGTTTTAAGAACACATACATAAAGCACAAAATAGTTAATTTGGATTCAAAAAATCCAGTCACAAAGAATTGTAACAAATAGTCTTCAAACAACTAGGACTGTGTTTGGCTTATATAGTAGGTGCTCAGTAAATGCTCATTTAATGAAATGATTACTAGAAAAGGGCAGTCCTGCTTTACCCATGTAATAACTGGTTCTTGCCACTTGAGTCCTTCCTCATGTGTTCTCATACTAGGAAAGATAAAAATTTTCTTACTTCTCATCTCATTTTAGAAAAGGAAAAGTGGCTTTGTTAACCACTGACCCATCAACATAAGAGATACAAACATTCTTAGGGATTTGTGATTTTTATATCTCCACGATCAACCTGGACTCTTCCACAGGTAACACATTACCCATAAATTTCCTATTTTCATTCTTCATAATGGTCCAATTTTTGTATTTAATTTTTTCTGCAGCGGTATTGATAAACCTATTTAACCTTTCAGATGAGGAATTTCATTAACTAGATGATACTGAAAATGCTTTATACTTGTAAGAAACAATAAAATTCTCCTTACATATTTTTCATATATATTTGGTGTTACACCCTAGTAGAACTGAGCCAATTTTGGGCTCTACAGGTACTATAAGAAAGATAAAAGGCAAATAAATGAAAATAAAATACAACCACATGATGGAAAAAATATTGTAGTTTTCACAAAGAAAAAAGTAGTAATAATAATAATACTTCATCTTTAGGTTTGGAGATTTATATTTATAAACTATACTCAGGTAAATTATCTCACTTGATTCTCATATTCTTAAATAATAAGTCCTATTATTCACCTACGCTACACACACATACAAACATTTTAAAAATAAGGGAATTAAAACTGAATATTTAAATCCTTATATTTAACAAATTCACTATGAAACTTCTGTTTTGTTCACACTTTCATAATATTTCCATGCTGTACTGTCTCATATTCCCTCCAGCAGTGGGAGAGGACCTTGCCAATTGTTGGTATGGTTGCTCATTTTACTTTTAACCATTCTCATCGGTGTGTAATAGTATCTCACAAATCAAATGTCAGAAAAATTTTAATTTTTCTCTTCCAAATATCGTATGATATTGAGTACCAATTTCATATGCTTATTTGCCATTTATATTCCTAATTTGGTATGGTGTCTGCTAAAATATTTACCCCTTACCCTTATGTTTTCAAGTTTGTTTGTTTGTTTGTTTTAAGACAGGGTCTCACTCTGTCACCCAGGGTGGAGAGTAGTGGCGCCATCTCAGCTTACTGCAACCTAGACTTCTGGGCTCAAAGTATCCTCCCACCTCACCCTCCTGATTAGATGGGACAATAGGTGTGCTCTACCACGCTTGGCCATTTTTTTTCTTTTAATTTTTTTGTAGGGATGGGATTTCACCATGTTGCCCAGGCTGGTCATGAACTCCTGAGCTCAAGCAGTCCGCTCACCTCGGCCTACCAAAGTGCTGGGTTTACAGGTGTGGGCCACCACATCTGGTTCAAGAATTCTTTATATATTCTGGATAGAAGTTATTTTTTAGATATGTCACTCGCAAATATTTTTCTTCCTCTCTGTAAGTTATCTTTTTATTCTCTTTACAGTGACTTTCATAGAGTAGAACTTTCTGATTTTAATAATTTCAATTTATCAATTTGGAATTCCATAGGTCATATTTTTGGTGTCGTATCTAAGAATCTTTGCTTTGATGTTTTTACCAGTAGGTATGGCATTAACTTACAGGTATTTTTAGATGCCCTTTATTATATTTAGGAACTTCCTCGCATTTTTATTCTGAAGAGTTTTTATCCGAATGAGATATTAGATATTTTCAAGCACCTTTCCTGTGCCTATGAAAATAAGCATACATTTTCTCCGATAAGAGAGAGATTACTAAAATTTTGTTTATAATTTTTTCATGTATATGCATTAAGAATTTAGGTCTATAATTTTATTTTTGTAGTAACTTGGTGTGGTTTTGGTATCAGGGTAATACTGATACTTTACAATACTGGCTTTATAAAATTAGTAGAGAAATACTCTTTTTTGAAATTTCTGGAATTATTTGTTAGAATTGGTATAATTTTTTCCATGCATGTTTGCTAGACATGCAAACATCTACAGATAAGGCCATCCAGGCCTGGAGCTTTATGTGTGGGAAGGTTTTGTCAAAAACGAGGTAGGGGCTGAGATTTTAGCCAACATGCAAGCCAACAATTTAGCCTGCCACAGTTTTGTGAATACAGAAAGAGGACACAAGACAACTTGACTACTCACAGCACAGGAAGCATCATAAGTATTACCATATTTGTGTCATTTCCCTTTTCACTTAAGTTCATATGTTATCCTGTTGGACCCGGATAGCTGCCTGCATATGCAATGAGCTGTGTTATTTGAGAGGAACCTTTAGTTAATGAAACTCACATATTTTTTTCCGTGGTCTGTAGACACTTTGTTGCCATCCTGAACAGTAGGTGAGCCTGTCTTTTCCTCTAGAGGCAGATACTATCTCTGTCCTCTGAGACTGTAAGGAAACATTCTCTAACCTCCCAAGGCTGACATTGCCTCTATCTTCCAAGACTGTTTGCTCTTTAAACATTGTTAAAAATGTTATCTGAAACAAAGGGCAGTTAGTGCCTCTCTGCTCAAAAGATATGCAGATATGAAGAAACCCATAGAAAATTCTCTCTTACAGGGTGTTAAATACAAATTCAATTCCTTTAATAATATAAAGCTCTTCAGGTGTTATATTCCTTCTTGAGTGTGCTTTGGAATGCAATTTTTCTATTTCATCTAATTTGTTGAACACATTTACATAAAGTTTTTCATAACATTCTTTTACTATCCTTTTACTGTCTGTTGAATCCGTCACCTTTGGTAACCTTAGAACTACTCTATATTTTCATATCTATACAGAGCAAGAGACAGAGAGAGAGAGAGAGAGAGAGACAGACAGACAGATGGTAATAAATGCTGCTTCCTTTAATAAAGTATGTGTTTGTATATATGCATATATGTGTGTTCATGTGTATGGTGTTTGGCAAGACCCCCTTGATGATAAGCAATAGAAATCTAATTTATAATTCTAAATATTTTAGGCAAACTTAGAGGGGGTTTTCAGAAGTGTAATGGGATATACTGACAATTAAACCCAGGGTAGGGCCGGGTGCAGTGGCTCCTGGCTGTAATTCCAGCACTTTGTGAGGCTAAGGCGGACAGATTACTTGAGGTCAGGAGTTTGAAACCAGCCTGGTCAACATGGTGAAGCCCTGTCTCTACTAAAAATACAAAAATTAGCCAGGGATGGTGGCGCATGCCTGTAATCCCAGCTACTTGGGAGGCTGAGGCAGGAGAATCTCTTGAACCCGAGAGGTGGAAGTTGCAGTGAGCCCAGAGCGCCCCACTGCACTCCAGCCTGGGCGACAGAGTGAGTCAGACTCCATCTCAAAAAAAAGAGTATGCTCCATTAAAACTCAAGAAGAAAAGGTGTTTAGTTTAGCTGACCCTCAGGACCCTGAATACTGCCAGTACTTACTTTATACATATTCTATGCTTTTATCAGTGGATCATCTTAATTTGTTTCTCTCTGAAAACTTGGTTCTCCGATATGGTAAGAAACATTGCCACTGACAGGTTCGAAATTTCATATCTCATAGCATATGCTCAGATAGGATTGACCTATGGGGTGTTTAATCTCCAATTCCAAAATTGACAAAGTGCTATGATATGTAAGAGATAAATCCCAGGTAGGCTGGGGAGAGTCATGACAGAAATCACAGAGGAGTCTCGTGTTTTGGAGACTCTATTAGTGCAGGCATCAAGCTCAGGCAGCCAATGTGTAGAGAATATGTAATACTGGTCTCTAATTCCAAGTAAAAATAAGTTGACTTATATGTATAACATGCACCTAAAAGGGTATATGAGAAAAAGTAGTGCTTCTCTGGCACTCCTCTGTCCTCAGTTCTACACACCTCAATGCATTTGAGTACATTTAATTTAGTATCTTTAGTGTCCTCCTGAATGTTCATGTTAGCAAGATTTTGCCCTATATTAGTTATCATGGGAACCCTTTCTCCATCATAATGGTCATGTGAATTTGAAAACATCTACTATCTATGATGTTCAGTTATATCATGTGAAATATGAGGAACTGATTATACAAGCTTGATATGTCAATACCAGTGATACAAGTATCACCAAATATTGAATCCAACCATCAAATATATTCTGTTTGGCCTGTACTGTATTAATTTATTTTTGAATGAAAACTTGTGATTATCTGGCTCAGTTGAATACAGAAATGCAAAACATAAATCTGGAGCCAAGTAGTGGTCACCTCCTTTAAAAAGACATGCTCTCTATCTTCTATTTCTGTCCCTATTTAACTGGAATCACTGTGAGGTGGTACCATTTGACCTTGTCAGGTATTTGATATTGTGAACCCTGGTTAATTGGAACGATGAATGCGAAAATTCTTAGCCTTCCTTCTGTTGAAAGAGGTTTCTAAATTTGAATTCTGAAAATTATTTTTATTGCCCTCACTCATCTATAAAATTGTTAAGTTCCTTGAACACAGAGATTATGTCTATGTAATTTGTGAGTTCTTCACATCACTTAATACATTGCCCATGAGAAAAAAATTCTTGAAAGCAATATTTGGTAAAAATTATTTAGCATTTCTCTTTCTGTCCATTGTACTTTCAGATTCAAGGGCTTATGGGTTCCACCCTCATCCAGAGGGCTCTTTCCCAGGCTTCTTACAGGTGCGGGGGAGAAGTCCAGAAACCAGGATCTGTAATAATCACTTGGTCCTGACATCTATGATATTATAAATACTACACAGAAAATTTTGTTCTTCAAAAATGTTACGAAGACAGAAAAATAACTAGTTTAGAATAGCTAAACCTGAATCCAGATTTCCAATATAACTTTCTAATACTTTTAATTCTTCGAATTCATTCTCTCTGAATTCTTTGTTAAATATAGCTAAAAATACGATAGCAAGTTTTGATGAGGAATTGAAAATCAAATGGTAAGGCAGATATATCTGAATTAACTGAAGCAAGTGTGTGTATGTGCACGTGTGTGTGTACGTGTGTGTGCACGTGTGTGTGTACGCACGTGTGTGTCCACACATGTGCATGCATGTCCTCCCTCACTGCTATTTATGTAATTTTACCTCAGGATGGCATCAAAATTTCCCTCTATAAAATTCTTATTTTGAAAACTGTATGCTATTTAGACAAGGATAGCAAGACAAACAAGTAAAAATTAAAACTGTAACCAAAGACCTCTGCTTATCCTCATTTGCTACAAAATAATATTGATATTCGTATCTTAATTTATAGCTATGACTATATCCACAATTATATCTCTATATAAATTTATAGTATCCTATTTATTCGAATTCTAATTTTTTCTTTCCAAATTATTAAAAGCATTGCATTCAAATTTCCTAAATAATGTGTCTATTTTGAAAATCTAATAGAGCAGGAGTAGGCAAACTACTACTGGCCTTCTGCCCAGTTTTCTAAAGAAAATTTTATTGGAATACAGCTATGCCTGTTCAATTACATGTTACTCATGGCTGTTTTCACACTACAAATAGGGAGTAGAGTAGTTGTAACAGACACCATGTGGCTCACACAGCCTAAGAAAATTTAGAAACTGATGTTTAGAGAAAAAGTCTACCAACTCTTCCATTAGATAATAGTAAGGAAATAATAATTATGACATATAAGGTATGTTCAGGTGTAAAAGTTCACACACATACACACACATGCACAAACATATACAGAGAAAGAGAGGAAGCCACTTTCGTGGTAATTTGGGACCTGAGGTTGATTTTATTTTGTTTCTATTTAAAACCAATAATTTGTTAGTAAGCATTTTTTTTCTTGCTTGCAGAGCTCTTGATATAGAATTGTTTGCTCTAGTCTTAATATTTTTATTGTAAATAAACATGTTTTTGAGCAATATTATATCAGTAATCTCATGGTTTCATGTGTTCCTGAAATATTTTTCTATAAATATCTTTGCTATAAAATTACTGATGACCCCAAATAAACCAGGAGAAACCTAGAGATGTATCTGTCCTCAAATGATATGTTGATACCATCAGTAGCACTGGAATTAGAAATATAACTATTACTTTTCCTTCAAAGTTCACACGAACCTATTAAGATGGCTTATATAATAACATTACAAATCATCAGGTGAAGGATTACATAAAACTAACCATAATTATTGACCTGAAATCTTAAAATTTCCCCTCATGTATTATTTTCAATTACTTAATGACATGTTTGTTCCATTTGAAAATATTACCTAACCATAATGGCAGGAGTCAAGTGCTGATTCAGGTTTTTGAAAGGAAAGCATTCCTAATTTTGATTACCAAAGCAAAATACATATATCAGTAAAAAGGTAAGGATTAAATGTACTGGCATATTTAGTCAGTATCTTATTGTTATATATAAAAAGCACAGTGAGAAGTACTTTGTTATTTTAACTGTGAATCTGTCAGTGTTTAAAGGTAACGCCTAAGGAAGAAAAATTGGTTGATTTTAATATCATTTGTTTCTTATTTAATGAAAATAAAAGTTTTATCCATTAAAGACAGGGTGGCTCTACCCAATTCATTATGTGTTTATTTCTAATTATTTATTCATAGCATATTGAAATAATTTAAAACAAAAGGAAAATTAGCAGTCATAAAATTAGCCCACTCTACTTTTTCATAGCAGACATTCTAGACATATGCTTTATATTTTCAGAAAATGAATTTTGGAAAAAGGCCAGTACAAATATGTAAAATTAGGAAATATTTTATTCTAGTTTTGTCATTCAAATAAAGATACCTTGAATAAATCACAGTATCACTCCATGGGAAGATATAAATCACACATGCCCAAATATAAGAAAAGAGGTGTTTTTTTCCTCCTCATAAATTATCTCTCAAGGAAGAGTTAATGTGCATGCCTCATCAAACACACACAGTGACATCCCTCCTGTTCAATGCATGAGCCATGCCTGTTCCAACCTAATGTCAAATCCTTAATGGTGCACCAGTTCTCACTCCATGTCTCTCGTTCAATTGATTTTTCTCTCGCATTTTTTTCTATATCCTCTATATTTAAATTTTTCCTTCTTTTATAGTTAATAATATATAATGCTTACAATGTGCCAAGAAAACTTCAAGGTGCTTTACACATGTCTTGATTTTGTAATCCTTATTTAATCCTATGGTTTACCATTATCAAATCCATTTTACAGATAAAGGAATTAAGCCAGAATTTGAATCCAGGAAATGCGGCCCCAGATTCTATGATCTTAAACACTGAACTATTATGTTCTTCTTAAGCAGAAAAACAAAAAACTGTAAAACCTCCCATCTTTAAACAAACAAAGCAAAGAATGCCCTCCCTTGATTCCCACACTGTCCTCTAGCTATAAACTCACTTCTTGTCTAGGTCAGCAATTACCTCTTTTGCCAAATGGAATTCTTTGTAAACGTCATACTCAAGTAATCAGCAGCCTTTAACATGGTAGTTTATTCTTTTAAAATATAAATCAAGACCTGTCACTCCCTTCTTGCATAGACCCTTCCATTGGCTTCCAGTCACATTTAGAGGAACTCTAACTTATCATGGTATATATCATGGTATATGAGGCTCTGCTACAGGGGGCTTTGGCTATCTCTCAATCTCACATCCTACCTCTCTCCTCCTCGATGGTATTCTGAAAACCGCAGTATGCTCCTTCTTCAGGTCTTTTGCCCTGTTGTTCTTTCTGAATGAGAATACTGCAGGCTGTACTTTTATAAGTTTTTCTGTCTTCAAGGCTTTGAGTTAAGTTCATTTTACTTGGCTTAATCTGACCAGAAAATCTGTAAAAGACAGAGGTACGGAAAAGAGCTTCATTAGCCTCAGTTGTTTCATGAATCAAATGGCTGTGCTTTGTAGACAGATCATCTAATTTAATTTACTAGACTTTGCTTAAAATCAGAAAACATGGGTTAAAGCCCGATATTATCATTTATTGATCAGAACATTTGTGCTGGAATAAAAAGTATTCTTAGTGCTTTCTGAGGAGACTGTGTTTACATATATAGTTTCCGGTGGCTATGCATACAGATACACATACACACACATACAAACATGAGATACAAATATGAGAGAAAGAGACCCAGAAAGAGAGATGGAGAAAAGGAGAGAGGAGAAGGAAAGGGGAGGAAAGGAAGGAAAGGGAAAAGAAGGGAAGGGGAGGGGAAGGAAGAGGATGAAATTATGAAATTACCTCTATGTTTAAATAAAAATGTTAATCACCTCTTTTAGCTCAATGCATATGCATTTTAATTTCCTGTGGGGTATCATTTCTTCTTTGCTTTTAAATTAATAGCTTACTATTCGCCTAAAACTAGAAAAATCCCCTACAATTTAAAATAGATGACAATCTACATATCTATACATGTATATTTAATTTCATTATTACTTAACTTGAAAGATTTCTATGAATTTTAAGAGAGAACAGTGTTTATAACACGCATGACATATAGTAAGCAATGAACACTCATTTTAGTAATTTATTTACTTATTGTAATATATTCATGACTACTGTTAGTTTTAGCTAAACTACTAAGGGAGCTTCTATGATCAACTTTCTCAACAAAAGTACTAGTTGTCATATTGCTATAAAGAAATACCTGAGACTGGGTAATTTATATTTAAAAAAAGTTTTAATTGGCTTACGGTTCCTCAAGCTATATAGGAAACACAGTGGCATCTGCTTCTAAGGAAGCCTCAGGAAGTTTACAATTATGGCAGAAGCTGAATGGGGAGCAGGCACATCACATGGCAAAAGCAGGAGAGAGGGGGTAGGGGGAAGAAGTGCAACACACTTTTAAGCAACCAGATCTCCCAAAAACGCATACATACAAACATGAGACACAAAGATGAAAGAGAGAGCCAGAAAGAAAAAGAGAACAACTCACTGTCACAAGAACAGTATCAAGAGGACGGTGTTAAACCATTCATGAGAAATCCACCTCCACGTTTCAATCACCTTCCATTAGGACCCACCTCCAACATTGGAAATTGACAATTCAACATGAGATTTGGTCAGGAACACATAGTCAAACTATGTCACTCTTTAAGAATGTAAAGTGCATACATTACCCTAAAGACAATAGGAACATAACATTTAAGTGGCATCTCCAAAGGAAGTTCTCATTCTCTATAGAAATTTCACATTTCAATTTCTTAAAGTGAATAAAATTTGTAGAAATAACCTCAGTTAACTTTTAAATAATGCCATGACCCCACAGTATCAGAATACAGTTGATGGCCTTCTCTAGAGAGGTTTCTTACTATGCCAAAATCTTCATACCTTAAAACCTATAAGGCAGTTTCTTTTCATTTGCTTAAAAAGCAGGTAACTGGCCGGGCATGGTGGCTCACGCCTGTAGTCCCAGCACTTTGGGAGTCTGAGGCGGGCAGATTACCTAAGGTCTGGAGTTTGAGACCAGCTGGCCAACATGGTGAAACCCCGTCTCTACTAAAAATACAAAACTTAGCCAGGTGTGTGTGCCTGTAATACCATCTACTTGGGAGGCTAAGGCAGGAGAACAGCTTGAACCCAGGAGGCGGAGGTTGCAGTGAACCAAGATCGTGCCACTACAACACTCCACCTGGGCTACAAGAGCAAAACGCCATCTCAAAAAAAAAAAAAAAAAGGCAGATAGCTTATCAATG
Organism: Homo sapiens; assembly: GCF_000001405.40. Taxonomy (NCBI): domain Eukaryota; kingdom Metazoa; phylum Chordata; class Mammalia; order Primates; family Hominidae; genus Homo; species Homo sapiens. The sequence continues at coordinate 98,064,339 of NC_000011.10, forward strand.
CAACATTTTATATTTTGATGTTTTATTTACTAAGACATAACATAAAACTAGTGAGAATTAACAAATTATCATATTTTTGGGGAAAAGCAGATTCTATTTTGAAATACATGATCAATGCTGAATTATCTTTCCATGAAAGACAGTCCCACATTTCAGAGCATGATCATTTTTGCTTACAAGTTACAGCCATTTTGAAAATCAAGAGTAAACAACTGAAGACATGCAATAAAAATTACATACTTTAATATGTCCTGCTATTTCAGTTTCTTTATTTTTCTTATTCCTTGTGCTGTGGTTGGGAGCCCTAAAAAAACCCCAATGGTACCAGTTTTGTGTCTCTGGCCTGTTGGGCTTCTGGTTCCCTTCCCCTGAGCCCAATCCTAAGTCAACCAGTTTAAGGTCTGGGAAATCAACTCCTTCCAGTTTGGAGGATGCATCTGAGGGGAGTGTCCTATAGTAAGGAGACACAATTACCTATCTGTGAAGAGAGAACCCAGGAGAAGAAAGAAAAAAAGAAAGCGTTTTTTTCAAAGAAGTCCCAGGGATTTAGGATGCATTCTAAAGGGGTACAGACTGAAGATGAATGGCTACCCATCTAGAAAGAGGGCAGCAGACATGCCTGGTTCCCTTCTCTTTACAGCAGATACTTGAGGCACATGAGGAAGACAGGGAAGAGTGTTCTCTTTCCCTCTTCCGTCCTTGCATCCCCAAGTTCCAGTGACCTTGGCAGGGACCACCACGGGTACCAAAGCAGCCTGCGCCCATGAGCAGAGAAGCTTAGAGAATAGGAATTATCTGCTCTCACCTATGTCTCTTTCCCACCCTAGACCTCATTTATGCCATGGATATTGAAACTACCTTTGCAAAATTATAACCGAGGAAATTATGACAGTGAAAAAATCAGACCTAACCAACTCTATCTTGCTTCTAACCCTTAAACTGTCCTTGTTCTTTCCTGGGTGTAGGCCAAACTAACTTTGGGAAGGAACTGAGTTCATGGTTTGACTCTGAAACAAAATTGATAACACCCCTCTCCCGTAAAGACCCCATTCTTGCCTGGGGTCCAGTCTGCCTTTGCAGGTATGCCAAATAATCTACAAGATTAGAAATTACGGCCAGGCGCAGTGGCTCACACCTGTAATCCCAGCACTTTGGGAGGCTGAGGTGGGTGGATCACGAGGTCAGGAGTTCGAGACCAGCCTGGCTAACATTGTGAAACCTGTCTCTACTAAAAATACAAAAATTAGCTGGGCGCAGTGGCACACGCCATTAGTCCCAGCTACTCGGGAGGCTGAGGCAGGAGAATCGCTTGAACCAGGGAGGCAGAGGTTGCAGTGAGCCGAGATAGCGCCACTACATCCCAGCCTGGGTGACAGAGCGGAGACTGCGTCTCTACAACTTAGGTGTCATGCAGCCTCTGGCTCCAAGAGTCTGAAACTCCCCAATTGCTCCTGGGGATAACATCACTATTGTAAAACCTAAGATCAGTACTTGAGATATTTTGCAGACCCTGCACTCGATGGATCAGCTGACACCCCTCAGACTAGTAATCTGGCTCCACAAGTTCTGCCATTGCACCCAAGAACAGAAGATAAAAAGATAAAAACCTAACTTCGACCCCCTATGATTCCATCTCCAACCCGACCAATCAGTACTCCCCACTTCCCAAGCCCCTACCTGCCAACTTATCTTTAAAAACTCTGATCCCTGAATGCTCAGGGAGACTGATTGGAGTAATAATAAAACTCCAATCTCCTGTACAGCTGGCTCTGTGTGAATTACTCTTTCGTCATTGCAATTCCCATCTTGATAAATCGGCTCTGTCTAGGCAGCGGGCAAGGTGAACCCATTGGGCTGTTAAAATATTAATGTGGCCTTTATCAATGAAACAGCCTCGGCTTGGCGTAATCGGCACGAATCAGCCACACACACCTGCGCTGCTGCCTTTTAACTTCCGTTATCATCTGCCTCTGAAGCCCTCAGATCCAGTTTTCTTTCCTAGGGCTTTGACCCGAAGCTTGGGATTGAGTCCGGGACAAAAATGTGTCTTGGGGGGTGGTTGCATGGACTCCTTAATGTAAGTCGAATGCTGATGTGAAACTGTGGAACTGAGTCCTCCTCCAACAAGGGAGAGAAAAGGATGTCTTGTTAACACACTCAGATAACCGGTACCTATAGTTATTCTTCCTAGGATTTGGGTGCATGGTGCTTAGCTTTGGTTAGTTCCCTTGGTGTTACTGTCTCCAAGGAAAACCCCTGGGGTGATGGGCACCCTATTTATTCCTATCACCTGGAAGGATTTGCAGGGTAATTTCTCTGAACTGGAATACTGATCCAGATTTTTACATTACCCATCCCCTTTTGTTCTTTCTGAGCTTCCACTGGAGATTGCTGATAGGTTCACAGGAATAAGCAGGGTTAGTCTAAAATGTAGGCAAAAACTTAAAAACAACTAGTGAGTTTAGAATTTAATGACAAACGTACGATAAGTTTTGAAACATGATTTCTCTCTCTCCAGTCCATTTTTGTTAAAAAATCATCACAGGACTGGTTTGCAAAATAGACTTTAGTCTTATACTTCGACTGATTATTTGCATAAAGTGCAGCAAGAATAATTATTTCAACAGAGGCCTTTTGAATTGGCTTTGATGGAAGTTTGTTCCACAAGTAATCTCAGATAAAACCTTCTAAAGCCAAGCTCAACAATGGGTTTGCATTCTCAAACACCTGTGAGTTGGGTGATCCTTTCCTCTTAAGGTCCCATAATAAACTTCGAGCTCCTAGACCTGTTAGAAAGTGACATTCTTTACCGACCACAGGTCAGGAACCCTGTACAGGGACTGCATAGACAGGGGTATGAGGCCAGTTTCCCCACTGGGCTTTTATTGGCTCCAGAAGTGGAGATTGACTCCTTAAAGGGAAGCATACCCTTCCAGTCAAAGCCTTTGTAAAATAACCAGTTTCTCCAATTGTGTTCTGTTGCAAAAGAAAAATGGGTTCTTATTGCACTGATGCAAACAACTATATTGCCATAAGAATACTCACAGATGGTTTCCAAATTCTAGAAGAACCAGGCAGAGAGAAACAAACATGCTCCAAATTTTGATCACAGGAGTGTACACCTTAATTATTAAAGGCTGTAAATAGTTCAAAATAAGCTTTCTTGACTCTGAAAAACAAAGATCAGCAATATTCCAAGCAAAAGTCAGAAAGACTTGCCTCAGCTTCCTGAATTCAGTCCATTTAGTTAACTCTTGTTTTACTTGATATTTGTGAACATTTCAACTCTTTTTCAGTCCTGTACATTTTCCTTTATTCTAATGTTACAACCTTCAAAGTTATCACAAGTCTGTATTTGAGAGCACCTGTTTAAGTTCTATAGCTTATTATAAACCGTCTTTTGAAAAGGATTAAAATAAGACAACAATTGTCTGTGAAGAGCAAAATGTCCAGGGTAGTTACACTTAGAAACACGATTGACAAAGAAGTTTGGTTACCTCCGTGGTTTACAAACTTAACAACCTTGATTATAATTGATAGTATATACTTAGACACTAGAATTTTAGAAATCCCATACAATTTTGGAACATATATTAGCATTATTTACCAACATATAACCTAAAGAATATTGAACATCATTTTGGCCAGCCCATATACATAAACATGTCAAATAATCCTGTTTACCTCTCTTTTCTGGACATTCCAGGAGTCCCTGGACTATCCCAAAAGCCAGGTGTCAGGAAAAACAATTTTGAAACTTAAGTTTGATTTTGGGAAGCCTGTTAAATGTGTTCAAGGTTCAAAGCACTTCATATTATGAAACAGAAGTCCAGATTACCATAAGTTATTTTGCCAAAATGACTCAAAAAGTTTAAAAAAGCAAAAGCCTTTTATAACCCTTTACAAATTTTGTCAAAGGACAGATTAGCACCTTAAGAAAACCTTGTTATGCTTTTATTTCAATGCTCAATTTACAGAAAAACCACATAATACCCTTTTGCATTTAGTCAGTACGTTCACACAGAGAACCTGTTCTGCAGGATTAATCTCCAAAACTTTTGCACCACTTGTTTGAACCTTCAGCTTTCCTATCTAACTCAAAACAATCCTTTAACCCTAGGGAAAAATTTACATTTCCAAGCCTTCTTATAACCTTTTACTAAAAAACACATTTTATTGTTCTTACACCCCTTGCATTCAATCTATTTTCAATAGTTTCATTTATATGTTATAATGGTAACACCCAGCAACTTTTAACTTTCAGGTAAAAAGGGGTAAGTTGCTTTAATTGTGTGTTAAGTGCAGCCAAGTTTGACTCCAGTTTAATTAAAGGCGTGGCTAGTTCCGTATGTCCCCAGGCCTTACCAATTGAGAAGGCCAGCAAATTAAATAGTTCTCAAAACACAAAAAGCAGTTTGTAACCTCAAAACATTTAGCAAACCTTGCATCTGACCTTCATAATTTAGCCCACCTATTTACATTTTGATGACATCTACTTTTTACCAATAACCTTTAAGGTTGTTTCTACTTATCAAAGATTAAAGTCACATGAACTGAAAGGTACCACAGCTTTTATCTTCCCTTTAAAAAATGTTAGATCCAAGCGCTTGTCTTTCTTTAGGCGAAATTAATCAGAGCTCTTTTTACAGACATCACACACAGTACACACACAGGCAGAAGAAAACCCCGTCCCCACAAGTTCATTTTTTACAACCAAAACTTTACAAATATAAATAGTGATAGTTGGGGGATCTGGCCTAGTAAAACGTCTCCTAGAAGGGGGAAAAAAAACCTTAAAAGTTAACTTGCTGATGAGGTAGAGAAGAGGAAGGAAAGAAACAGTTTAAAAATTCCTTGGAAAGAACCAATTTTTTTTTTTTTTTTTTTTTTGAGACAGAGTTTCATTCTGTCACTCAGGCTGGGGTGCCGTGGCGCAATCTCTGCTCACTGCAACCTCCGCCTCCCGGGTTCAAGCACTTCTCCTGCCTTAGCCTCCCGAGCAGCTGGAGGCGCGCGCCATCACGCCCAGCTAATTTTTGTATTTTTAATAGAGACGTGGTTCCCCCATATTGGCCAAGCTGGTCTCGAACTCCTGACCTCGTGATCCACCCGCCTTGGCCTCCCAACGTGCTGGGATTACAGGAGTGAGCCACCGGCCCGGCCAGAACCTCTTAGTCTTATGCAACTGGTTCCTCCATCAGGGATAAAAGTTTAATTACTATCCAATGGAGTAAAACCCCTTGGCGGGGAAGGGGAAGGATGCACTGTGGCTGGGAACCAGACAGCGGCTGTGCATGACCCTTGGGTTATGCGTCCTAGCCCAGGCACATAGGGGAGGGGGAGCAAGGAGCCCCCACTCGCCTGTCTTTCCCGACCCCTATACAGGGGTTGGGGGCATTTTCCCCCTAATCTCAGAAGTTGGAGGATAGAAAGGCTTATAAACCACAGTGAAAGGTTTTGAGTCCCCATTTCACTCACCGCTTCTCGAACCCCCACGTTGTGCACCAAAAATGTTGCAGGACTTTTTTTAAATTCAGTGAAAGACAAGGTTCTTTGTCTTAGGGCCGCGAAAATTCAGGCTTACAGACAATTTGAATGGTAAGACAGGGTTTTATGGGGTGAGATCCTGTGAAAAGGAAGAAAAGGGGGAAACAGGGACTCTCGCTAGACCACAGCTCCGCCTAGCGCACTTCCCGCCAGCAGCTTGAATCCGAGGGTCCACACAGGAAGAGGAGGGGCCAGGCTCCTCCCCGCTGCAAAAGTCCCAAAGGCTCCACCTCAGTGTGCGGGTTGGTTGAAGTTTTTCCGGGGACCCTCTCTCAACTGGCTGCCTCAACAGGAATTTGACTCTTGCTTATCTCAATTAGCCTGAGGTAAAATTGGTTTCCTTACGTGCCATTTTGATTAAAGACGCCGTTTCCTAGAACCTCTCAGGGAGGTTAAGTGACGACTTACTGTGTACAGCTGTAGCAACATTTTCCGTTAATAAGGGATTGCATATATGATAGAGGGCCCATAATAGAGCTGAAAAATTCCTCCTATCTCCTAGTGATGTCCTAGGTGTCGTCAAAGTTGTAGCACAACAGCTTATTTGTCTGTAGTACTGGTGTAAATAAACCTACTGGGCTGTCAGTCATCAAAAAGTCTACCACATACAGTTACGTATGGTACATAATAATAAAGGTAATAAATGACTACATTACTGGTTTATGTATTTACTATACTATACATTTTATCATTTTAGAGTGTACGCTTTCTCCTTATTAAAAAATAAAAGTTAACTGTAAAACAGCCTCAGGCAGGTCCTTCAGGGGGTGTTCCAGAAGACATTGTTATCATAGGAGACATGCATGTTATTGCCCCTAAAGAACTTCCAGTGGGACACTATGTAGAGATGAAAGGCAATGATAGTGATGACCCTGACACTATGTAGACCCAGGCTAATGTGTGTGTTCATGTCTTAGTTTTTTAATACCAAAGAAACAATTTAAAACAAAAATAAGTATACAAAGCTTATAAAGATTGAAATAAAATATTTTTGTGCAGTATACAATGTGTATGTGTTTTAAGCTACATGTTATTACTGAAGAGTCAAAAAGTTTAAAAAGTTAAATAATCTATAGAGTGCTGGGCACGGTGGCTCACACCTGTATTCCCAGCACTTTGGGAGGCTGACATGGGCGGATCACCTGAGGTCAGGAGTTCCAGACCAGCCTGACCAATATGATGAAACCCCGTCTCTATTAAAAATACAAAAATTAGCTGGGCGTGGTGGCAGGTGCCTGTAATCCCAGCTACTCAGGAGGCTAAGACAGGAGAATCGCTTGAACCTGGGAGGCAGAGGTTGCAGTGAGCCGAGATTGCGCCATTGCACTCCAGCCTGGGCAACGAGAGCGAAACTCCGTCTCAAAAAATAAAAATAAAAAAGTCACAGTAGGCTAAAGTTAATTTATTGTAAAGGAAAAAATACAGATTTTTAAATAGATTTAGTGTAGCCTTAGTGTACAGTGTTCAAGAAGTCCAGATATTGTACAGTAATGTCCTCGGCCTTCACATTTACTCACTCCCTCCCTCCCTCACCCAGAGCAACTTCCAGACCTGCAAGCTCCATTTGTGGTAAGTGTCCTGTATATAAAAATTATACAATTTGTTATCTTTTATACCATGTTTAGCATATGTTTTCTATGTTTAGATATTGTATACAAAAGATTACATACATGATTTTATAATTGTCTACAGTATGCAGTACAGAGGGTCCTCAAATAATGTTTTTTGTTATAATGTCAATGAGAAAAAAAAAAATCACTTTCTCTCCAGGTACTCTGGTTTCCTCCAACATCCCAAAGATGTACATGTCACGTGAATTGGTGTGTCTATATGGTCACAGTCTTAGTGTGTGTGGAGGTGTTTGTGAGTGTACCCTCCCACGAGATAGAGCCCTGTCCAGGGCTGGTTTCTGCCTTACGCATGCGCTACAGGGACAGCTTCTACCACCTGGGACCCTAAACTAAAATAAAGGGGTTGAAAAATGAATGAATGGATACAAATTATTGTAAAATAGAAATTCATAAAATATAATCATATAAATGCATGACAATTAACGGTGTAGTATTGTGGCAAGCGACGTCTCACTAACCCAAGCCTCCATAACAACTGTTTCTGTACTGACTAAGTGGTTAAGTTAAATATTAAAAGCCCAATGCCCTTATACAGCGGCTAGGGTATAACAAAAGCTTACCAAGAGTTTTGCCTTGGCCTTAAAGCATGACAAAATAACCAAGGAATTCTTAATAGGACCGATTAGGATTAAACAAGTTTGATTGTGGCTCATCTGCATCTTGTTATTGGGCCATGAGAAATACCAGGCCGACCTTCAGTTTGGTCTGGGAACAGTATGAAAGTGCACAACAAGCCAGCCATGTTTATTACTGTTTGTTTTTGAACTGCATGGTGGTGAGAGATGCTCCTTACAACGTCCGCTTTGTAAAAATTTATTCATTGGTTTAACCCATCCCCACTACAACCGCCAGCACTCGACGATTCACCAAAATTGGGTAAATGATTATCTTACTTGTTTTTATTAATCTTTCTTAAACATATATGTAGACCACATTCAGCTCAATGTTTAATATTAGAAGTGTTTTTGGGTCTTTATGTAGACATTTGGTGATATTTTTGTGACCAGAAATACACTATAGAAACTTAACCCTTAATTATATAACTATGCTATGAAAAAATTGGTTTGTGATATGTCATTTTGCTTAAAAGCACAGTTTCCCAGAACTGACTGATGACATTAAATAGAAACTTACTGTATTTATTTTGTGTGTTTTTGAACTTCATATGAAGGTCATCAAACAGTAAGTATTTTTTGTTCTTCATTTCTTTCCCTCACCACTATATCTGTAAAATCTATCTGTGTAGTTCCTTGCAGTTTGTAGCTGTATCATTGCTGTGTATATTTTATTCACTTGTATGAATACATTTCAGAAGTGTTTTTGTAATCATAAGTGTAAATTATGTTGCATAATTTCCAAATTAAGTTGCATAGACACTACACCCCAGAATATTGTATTTAATGTGCATGAAGATTCTAAATAAATTGTTAATTTTCTGGGATCAATGATTACCTACAAAATGTCATTATTCATTGTCTTTCAGTGGAGAACAAACTGGGTACTTTCTTTTGAAAGACTTACACAAGTTCTAGCCACTGTGTTGATCTTTATTCTTTGTAATCAAGATCATTTTCTTAATAAGGCAAGAAGAGAGGATAAGAGGGAGGCTGGTATTCTTCAGTGTAGCTAGTCAGCAAGAACCCTATTCTTTTGTTTGCCTTTTATTTTGGCGACTAAAAATTTTGATTTGTATGCTTATGTGTATTTGTTTTATAAAAATAATCTATTAGCATGCATAATAGATTAGTGCTCTCAGTAGTATTTTTTGTGAATTACATAGAAGAAATTTGGGAAATATTTTTCCAACTACCACATAATCAGAGTTGGATAAAAGTTCATACAAGAGAGGAAAAGAAAACAAATATTTCATTATTTTTAGCTTGCAATGCTTTGAAAAAATCACATACTGTTGTAACTCTAAATAGATATAATATCAGACAGATTCCCCTTACTCTTTTTAGAGTAAGATTGAGATTCCTTGGAGAACTTATTAAGGGAAGAATGTTGGGACAATTCAGTTGATGTGCTGCAGTTAATCCTGAGGTTGCGATTGATACTCATAATCTCTATCCTTCACAACAATTTTAAATTCCCCTTTCCTTCAACTGGCAATTTTGCTGATTAGATAATTTGTCTGAAAAGGTAACCTAGACTCTTTCATAGGGTCTGAAATTCTGTCAAGGTATATTTATTAGTCCATGTACATTCCACTTGTTTATTTACAGTTTAAAATGGCTATAGAAGTAATAAGCGATACACCCGAAGATCTCCTGTGTGTTAAACATATTCTCCCCTATGCGCAGGAAAATCAGGGTTAGTAACCTTTACCATTAGAGTAACTTATCTTTGTGTCTGCTGGTCTAGTGGCACAAGGAACCCATAGTGATTCAGTGACAACTATAGCTTTGTGCTCAATGGGACTCTAAATATTTAGTGGCGAGAATTCCTTTTCTGGGAAATAGGACATCACGAGCCCGGTGTTTCTAAAGATGACAAGCACAAATCCCTTAATGGATTATTGGGAAAGATGGTGAAGATATCAAACTTCCCGCTTTTGTTCTCCAGACCCATGCATCCTACTATATAAAAGTCATTGCTTTAAAATATATAGTGAATACTCAATCATAGTGCCCCACCTTTGCCTGCAGTCATCTTCAAGCTGGTATTCAGCATTTTTCAGCATCATGGTCTACTTTTTGTTTAAAGTAGTCAGTTGCAAAAATCAGCGTTGACATATTGGCAGTGGTTAATGCCTTATCTCCTTGTTCAGAGCCAGATTACAGATCTGGGAGGAAATCATGTAAATGGACTATAGTATCTATTGAGCCATAGTTGCAATATGTGGCAAGGCTGCATTTACCACAGATGGGGCCTATTTTCCTGCCCTGCAGCACACTCAAAACTAGCAGCCTTTCACATAATCCAACAACAGGTCAGAACCCCATTTTAAAATATGAAAGGTGCTCACCCCAAAATCTGAAGAAGCCTAACAATTAACGAGATTTCATCTTCATGTAATGTCATGAAGGTGCAATAAACCATCCTTTATTTTGGAAGAAGTGTCACAATATGCCCTAGACCACTAGACCTCTAAATATTTTAATGTGGCTCCTTGAATCAGTGTAGGTTTTATCTTTCCCCCTTTGAAGTACATGTGTCTTATGATGATCTCAAAAGTACTGGCTGTATCTTGTTCATTTGGCCCAACAAACACAATGTCAAAAATAAAAGCAGATCAGTGTGATGTTCTAATAGAATGCCCAAAGGGTCCAGATACCTCCAAATTATATTCTAGTAGAGGTTGGGGAAAAAGCCTGGAACAAGATCATAAATATGTTATGTTTTCTACCTCATGAGTGCAAAATGCTTTTGGTCCTTCATTCGGATGGGGACAAAAATAGTGTATTCTCTTTATCACTGGTCACATAAGGTGACAGGTGCTGTGCTAATTTGCTGTAACAAAAATACCACATCTGCCAAGCAGTGCAAATAAATTTACTACCTGGTTGAGTTTGCAGTAGTCCACTGTTATCTCTCTAGATCATTCTTGGAGTTTGAAGAAGTCAGACAAGTATAATAAATGAATATTTGATGGGAACCACCACCCTTACATCCTTTGGTCTTTAAGATTGACATAAATTTTTGCTCTTCCTCCTGGAATACAATGTTGCTTTTTTATTTTCTGTATTACTGGATATGGGGAGCAGTTTCAAGAATTTCCTGCTTACCCTACCACCAGTGATAATAATTTCTATAATTTCTATAGCTTAGGTCAGGTTTCTAAAAAAAAAAAAAAAGAAAGAAAGAAAGAAAAAAAAGCATCTAACCTGGGAATTTTTTTTCAAAGATTTAGGAAATGCTCTCAAGGAGAATGGGTGTGGAATGAGGGAAGGAAGATTGGGTAGAGGGTAAAAAGCTAAGCAGGTATTGTCTAGGAGGTATCAGGCTAGTTTTAGTGGGATCTCATAGGAAAGATCTGGAGCATGACTTGCACATGTAATCCCCTATTGTTTCAAGGGAGTGGGCTTTTAGTACAGGTATGTTTGTCAATCACCAGCCACAGGCTGCTTACTGTGATAAGTGGGAGCATAATCTCCAGAGTTAGGCAGCTCCTATTTGACCAAGGAAAGTTCTTTGGAGAAGAAGGAAACTGGTCTATATGAGCAGGCAGTATTCTAGGCAACATGAAGATGGGTGCACTGCCACAGTTAAAGGAATCTTGACAAAGCACCAATAGTATCCAGTACAAGATTTCAAACATCAATCATGTTGTTGATGCACTGCAGGTGTAATCAGTTAGAGTTTACAGTGTGATAACAACTACATTCCAAACCCAATAACACAGCAACAACATTTCTTTATTTATCATATTTCATTTCAACTCTTGGTGAACCTATGGCTTTTTTCCTTTCTAACAGGATCCAGGTTGGATAAAATATTACCGGGCTTGGACAAACAGGCAGAAGAAAAGAACTGAAACAATTGCTTTTGTTTATCTATCTATCTATCTATCTATCTATCTATCTATCTATCTATCTATCTATCTGGTTTGAAATTCTGAAGAGATTTCTGAAATTCTGAAGGATTCCACCCTCCCACCATCTGCCCCACCTTCCTTCCCCTCTCCCCGCTTCTTTTTCTCCACCCTTGATCTGTTCTAGGGTAGACAATCCTCAGTATGATGTTCTGCATGGCCCTTGGCTCTGATCCTCTTATAGGTACTTTTCTTTCCCACTGTCTTCATTGGCTACATCTGATTTTGGAGACTCTTCTTTCCCCAGAGTCTGAGAAGCTCTTTCGCTCTGTTTCCTGGTCATAGGAAACTGGGTGCCCCAAGGGTTATTTCACATTTTTTAACAGTCACAAATTCTTTTGGTCTAGGATGTTGGTTATTTTAACAGTTAAACTTTTCAAAAGCAATAGTGGGCTTTAAATTTATTTGATTACAATCTACCACAGGTACTGATAATCATACCAATAATTCTTTATAAGATTTTTTTCTTCCCTCTGGGCTTAAATGCTGTTATGTTGAGCCTATGAAGCTTCTAACAGATATGTTAGTCTTAAGCCATTTTGTTTAATTGAAAGGGATGAATCAATGCAACATTAGTAGGTGTTTGTTTTTAATGTTTTAATAGACATAACCTTGATATGATTCGTGCTTGAGGCTGAATTTTAATTGTTTTTTTGTTGTTGCTCAAGGCCTTCATAGTTTATCTTTTACCAGTTGGAGTTGAGAAACAGTTCTATTTTCTAATTCTGCAAATTCTGGCCTTTGCTAGATTTCTGTGCTGCTTTTTATGTTTGAGAAGTGGTCTAATGGTTCCTGAACTCATCTTTTTCTAGGAATACTTGTCAATACATAGCAATAATAATCAAATAATGTTAACAACATACTAGTTTTCCTTTTACTCCCTTAAATTCACAAGTCAATTAAAGAAAAGCATTAGCAGACCTTGAGTCATTTATTATAGGGATTGAATTGATCCCTCACAGGGCTGCAGTCTCTGAGAGAGTTGGATTATTTCCTAGGTCATCATTACTCTTACGGTATAGACCCTATAGAATCTCATCCTAAATTGTGGGGAGTTTACAAGTGTATCCCCTCCATAAGGAGCAAAGGACTCCAATATTTGTTCCCATTAGCCCTGCAACTATGAATATCCTACCAACATAGATGGTTTCTAATGTGTTCAGTAAATAATAATTCCATTTTGTATAATGTAAGTATGCATGTATGAATGTATTGACTGGCTGATTTAAAGATCCTTTGTGCCCTATGTAGAATTTCTGTGGTTTTACTTGTCTCTCTTCATCCTTTTTTATATATTCTACAATACTAGTAAAAGGGCTTAATTTCAGGACAGAAACACCTCTCATAATGAGATACCAGTTCTCTATGCTTGTGGTTACTTTTTTAAAATCATATTTTGCCTCTTTGCATGTTTTCTCCTTTACTATTTTTATGATTTAGAAAGCAATTGCTCAGTATTTTTTTATTTCTTATTTTCTTTCATTGCTTCAAATCTTGACAGAAAGGCATGCATTTTTAAATGACTCAATTTTGTTTGCCTGCTTTCATCAGTTTAAAAACATTAAGTCCAAATTGGCATTTCCTTCTCTTTTACATATTATTTTTGTCATTACTATTCTAAGTTCAAATGTGTTTAATGTTGTTAGTATAAAATTTTGTTATAATTTCTCTTTTTTTTGCATAGTGGAAAATTTCAACTTGTAGCTTTTCTTTTAAAAAACTTTCAGTCATTGGATATGTGTGAGCGTGAGATAACTTCATTTTCTATTTTAAATATGTTATTTATCCAAACAAAACAACTTCATGAAGTTTAAATAGAATGCACAATTATCACGATGTTAAAGTATGCCCCTGGCCAACAGACAAAATGGGCTCCCTGTGGCTAACTGAGGTGCTTGACATTAAAACAGAATCTGGTGGCCAAAGCTGGGTGTGGGAGCAATCAAATACTCTGTCCTAGGAAAGATATTTTAAAAGTGGCACAGGACCTTCCTTTCTACAATCAAGTAAAACCAGTTCCGGTTGTGAGTGCCATGATAAACTGTAGCTGGAATAACCGCCCTCCATCCCCAAACAATGGCCTTTCAAAGAAATACCTGACAGAGACTTCTTGTTTTGGGCTTGGAAACCACCCAATCAGGGCTAAACACTTTGGACCAATCAGAATTAAACAAGTTCGATCACTTTTTTTTGCATAAACAGACCTGATAGAGGACTGGGGTGAGAACTTTCCCTATTTAAACCAGACCCTTCCTTAGTTCCTTAGAGAGCACACTTTCACTTCTACTAGAGGTTGTGTCTCCCTAATCTGCAGATTGTTTCTTGATAGAAAATAGGGCTCTCTCTTTTTCCTCTGCAGTTCTCAGTCTTTTTGTTAACAATGATATTCCAATTGCTAAAGTTGGGTTCTTCAGAAAAAAAAAATTAATAAAGCAACTAAAATTTAAAACCCATTAGGAATGTTAAATGTGCATAACAATACTCTTTCTATGACTAATCAATAACATTTTAAAATATGTTGTAAATGAGAAAAATTTTTCTCCTTTCTTGTATTTTATTTTGACTAAAAGTCTAAGATGAGGAATTGCTTTTATGGCCTATTGATTAATATATTTTCTTACTTTAGAAACTAGGAACTAAAACCTAGAGACAACAGATATCATATCTACGAAGGTCAGAGGGGTATATTCATTTTATTAAAAGATAAGATTTAAGAATCATACTTTGAAATAAATTTAACACGTATTTCCTAATTTGTAGATTGCTTATTAAAGGGATCATTTGTGAAAATTAGATAAATAAATGTATAAAAGCTATGAGTGCTTACAATCTGTAAAGAGAATACTATTTTAATTTATAGAATTGACTATAATATTTAGAAGTATCTGTGTTACTATAAATAATTAGTTTAAAAATCAGACATGATATAATATGAATAGTTATTCATGCATTTAAAAGACTGGTTTAGGGCTGGGCTCAGTGGCTTATGCCTGCAATCCCAGCACTTTGCTAGGGAAAGATGGGAGGATGGCTGGAGCCCAGCAATTTGAGACCAGTCTGGGAAAACCATAGTGAGACTCTGTCTCTACAAAAAAATTAAAAAATAAGCCAAGCATGGTGGTGTGTGCCCATAGTCCCAGCCACTTGGGAGGCTGAGATAGGAAGAGACCTTGAGACCATGAGACCAGGGCTTCAGAGCCATTATTGTACTCCTGCACTCCAGCCTGAGTGACAGGGAGAGAAAGCCCCTGTTTCAAAAAAATGAAAAGTAAAAAAATAAAAATAAAAGACTAAATTAGTTGCTTAATTACTTTCAGCTTCTGTTTCTAGTTTGCAAATTTGAGTTAAAAACACCAAAATTATAGGATCATTGTGAGAACTAAAAGTGGACTATAAGGTATCAGTAATTTACAAAAGTGATTGCTATTTATATAGTGCCTTCACCAATCTAGATCAATTGGCTAAGTACTAAGTACAATCATGCTACAAAAAAAAAATGACAACAAAAACCTTGATATAGTTTTTATTTTAAAAATTGCTTTACTTTTTATATTGCCTTGTTCTTTTTCACACTGGACAGTGCCAGAGACATGAAGCTGCACTGTATGGTCCATTAGCCCATTCAAGAAGATCCTGTTTCATTTCCAGATATGCTTTATGATATGTCATACTAATATCTCTTGAGTTTCACATTCCTTTTTTTCCTGTGGCTTTCTAGACCCATAAAATAGAAACACATTTTAAAATCAAATGATATTATTTTAAAATAGTTTAGTATCTGATATGGTTTGGATCTGTGTCCCCACCCAAATCTCCTGCTGAAATGTAATCCCCAGTGCTGGAGGTGAGGCCTGGTGGGAGGTGATTGAATCATGGGAAAGTTTCTAATAGTTTAACACCATCCCCCTAGTACTGTTCTTGTGTTGGAGTTCTTGTGAGATCTGGTTGTTTAAAAATGTGTGGCACCTCTCCCTGCTCCTTCCTCCTGCTCTGGCCATGTAAGATGTGCCTGCCTCTCTTTCAACTTTTTCCAAGATTGTAAGTTTCCTAAGGCCTCTCCCAAAGCCAAGCACATGCTGCCATGCTTTCTGTAGAGTCTGCGGAACTGTGAGCCAATTAAACCTCTTTTCCTTATAAATTACCCAGTCTTAGGTAGTTCTTTATAGCAATGCAAGAACTGACTAATACAGAAAATTGGTACCAAGAAGTAGAGCATTCCTATAAAGATACTTGAAAATATGGAAGCAACTTTGGAACTGGGTAATGAGCAGAAGTTTGAAGAGTATGGAGGGCTCAGAAGAAGACAGGAAAATGAGAGAAAGTTTGGAACTTCCTTGAGATCTGTTAAATTGTTGTGACCAAAATGCTGGTAGTGTTTTTGACAGTGAAGTTCAGCCTGAGGACGTCTCTGATGGAGATGAAGAATTTGTTGGGAACTGGAGTGAAGGTCACTTTTGTTATGTGTTAGCAAAGAGGTTGGCAGCATTGTGCCTCTACTCTAGGGACCTATGGAACTTTAAACTTGAGAGTGATGAATTAGGGCATCTGATGGAAGAAATATCTAAGCAGCACAGCATTCAGTATGTGGACCAACTGCTTCTAAAAGCTTATCTTATATGCATTAGCAAAGAAATGACCTGAAACTGGAACTTATATTTAAAAGGAAAGCAGAGAGTAAAAGTTTGAAAAATTTGCAGTCCAACACTGTGATAGAAAATAAAAGCCCATTTTCCAGGAGCAATTCAAGTCAGCTGCAGAAATTTGCATAACTAAAAGGAAAGCAAGTGCTGATAGGCAAGACAATAAGGAAGAGGCCTGGAGGGCATTTCAGAGACTTCTGAGGCAGCCCTTCCCATCACAGGCCTGGAGACATAGGAGGAAAGAATGGTTTTGGGGGCCAGGACGATGACCCCACAGCCCTGTGCAGCCTTGGTATGCTGATTCTCACATCCCAATCACTCCAGTTCTAGCCATGGTTCAAAGGGACCCGTGTACTGCTTGGGCCACTGCTTCAGAGGGTACAAGCTGTAAGCCTTGGTGGCTTCCACATGGTGTTAAGTTTGTGGGTACACAGAGTGTAAGAGTTGAGGTTAGGGAGCCTCCACCTAGATTTCAGAGGATGTATGGAAAAGCTTGGATGTTCAGGCAGAAGCCTGATACAGCACAGAGCCCTCATGGAGAACCTCAACTAGGGAAGTGTGGAGGGGAAATGTGGGGTTGGAATCCCCACACAGAGTCCCAACTGGAGCACTGCGTGATGGAGGTGTGAGAAGAGGGCCACCATCCTCCACACCCTGGAATTGTAAGTCCACCAACACGCTTGCACTGTGTACTTGGAAAAGCTGTAAGCACTCAATGCCAGCCCTTGAGAGAAGCCATAAAGGCACAGCTGCCCAAGGCCTTGGGAGCCAACCCTTTGCATCAGTGTGCTCTAGTTGTGAGATATGGAATCAAATAAGATTATT